>NC_000023.11:92159511-92462542 GCF_000001405.40 Homo sapiens
CAGGAGAATAAAAAACACAAGTGTGTGTATGTTTTAGAGTATAAAGGGAAATTTTCTAGAACAAATGAAAAGGTAATTGGTGGTAAACTTAACCTCATTGGGATTAAAAAAAAAAAGGCAATTTAAGAGTGTCAAAAACCAAATTACAATGAATTTAGTTTAAAGACATAATTGACTTTTATTAGTGATTCTAGAATCAGGCAACATCTCATTCTATAAAACAGAATGAGTGCTGAACAGTTGTTTTTTTAAAGTGCAAACAAGGAAACAGATTAAAATGTGGAGTGACATCAGGTTACCTCATTTTTTTTTTTTTTTTTGTAAGGGTTAAAGCTGAGAGGACTTCCTTGTTTTGCTGGCTCAGGTTTACTGGGCCCTCTTCAATTGTTTGTTATGAATCTCCTGTTTTCAAAAAAAAAAGATTTGGGGATTTACCTGCTTCCTTAATGTTTCAGTTTGATTATAAGGCACTTATCATGAGACTCCATTTTGGTTTGCTCTACTGGGGCCTAGTGCAGGAGCTCAGCCCAAAACAATGGCCGTTCATACATTTTATTTAACAGGGAATGGTTTTGTTTATTTTTTTGTTTGTTTATTTATTTTGGTCTGTAGCTGGCTGTCTCTACTGGCCAGCTGTTTTTTTTCTTTTTTTTTTAATTTCCATAGGTTATTAGAAATAACCAGGTGGTATTTAGTTACATGAGTAAGTTCTTTTGTGGGGATTTGTTAGATTTTTGTGCACGAATCTCCCAAGCAGCATACATTGAACCCAATTTGTAGCCTTTTATTTCTCACTCCCTTCCCACCCTTTCCCCCTGAGTCCCAAAGTCTGCTGCATTATTCTTATGCCTCTGCATTCTCACAGCTTAGCTCCCGCTTATGAGTGAGAACATAGGATATTTGATTTTCCATTCCTGAGTTACTTCACTTAGAATCATAGTCTCCGATCCTATCCAGGTTGCTGCAAATGCCATTAATTCATTCCTTTTTATGGCTGAGTAGTATCCCATCAAATATATACCACAGATTCTTTATCCACTCGTTGAGTGATGGGCATTTGGGCTGGTTCCATATTTTTGCAATTGTAAATTTTGCTGCTATAAACATGCATGTGCAGGTATTTTTTTTTCTTTTTTTTTTTTTTTTATAATGACTTCTTTTCTTCTGGGTAGATACCCAGTAGTGGGAGTACTGGATCAAATGGTAGTTCTACTTTTAGTTCTTTAAGGAATCTCCACACTGTTTTTCATAATAGTTGTACTAGTTTACATTTCCACCAGCAGTATAGAAGTGTTCCCTTTTCACTGCATCCATGACAACATGTATTATTTTTTGATTTTTTAATTATGGCCATTCTTGCGGGAGTAAGGTCGTATCACATTGTGGTTTTTATTTGGAATCCCTGATCATTAGTGCTGTTGATCAGTTTCTTATATGTTTGTTGGCCACTTGTATATCTTCTGTTGAGACATGTCTATTCGTGTCCTTAGCCCACTTTTTGCTGGGATTTTTTTTTATTTCTTGTTAATTTGAGTTCCTTGTAGATTCTGGATATTAGTCCTTTGTTGTATGTATAGATTGTGAAGATTTTCTCCCACTCTGTGAGATTTGTTCTTTAAAGAGGTTATGTTTTAATGTGTTTCCAGGATGTGTTTCAAAATTGATAGCTCCTTTTAGCAGTTCTTGTAGTGCTGGCTTGGTAGTGGCAAATTCTCTCAGCATTTGTTTGTCTGAAAAAGACTGTATCTTTTCTTCATTTATAAAGCTTAGTTTTGCTGGATACAAAACTTTTGGCTGATAATTATTTTGTTTAAGGAAGTTAAAGATAGGGCCCCAATCCCTTCTAGCTTGGAGGGTTTCTGCTGACAAATCGGCTGTTAATCTGATACGTTTTCTTTTTTAGGTTACCTGGTGTTTTTTCCTCACAGCTCTTAAGATTCTTTCCTTCACCTTGACTTTTGATAACATGATGACAATGTGCCTAGACATGATCTTTTTGCGATGAATTTCCCAGGTGTTCTTTGAGCTTTTTGTATTTGAATGTCTAGGTCTCTAGCAAGGCCGGGGAAGTTTTCCTCAATTAGTCCCCCAAATATGTTTTCCAGACTTTTAGATTTCTCTTCTTCCTCAGGAATGCCAATTATTCTTAGGTTTGGTCATTTATCATAATCCTAAACTTCTTGGAGGCTTTGTTCGTTTTTTAAAATTCTTTTCTCTTTGTCTTTGTTGGATTGAGTTAATTAGAAAACCTTGTCTTTGAGCTCTGAAGTTCTTTCTTCTGCTTGTCTGATTCTATTGCTGAGACTTTCCAGTACATTTTGCATTTCTCTGAATGTGCCCTTTATTTCCTAAAGTTGTCATTGTTTTTTATTTATGCTATCTATTTCACTGAAGGTTTGTCCCCTGATATCTTGTATCATTTATTTGACTTCATTAAGTTGGACTTCACCTTTCTCTGGTGCCTCCTTGATTAGCTTAGTAATCAACTTTCTGAATTCTTTTTCAGGTATATCAGAGATTTATTCTTGGTTTGTATTTATTGCTGGTGAGCAAGTGTGATTTTTGGGGGAGTGTTAAAAAACCTTGTTTTGTCATATTATGAGAATTATTTTTCTGGTTCCTTCTCATTTGGGTGGGTTATATCGGAGGGAAGATCTGGGGCTCAAGGTTGCTGTTTAGATTTTTTTTTTTTTTTTTTGAAATGGAGTCCTACTTTGTCACCCATGCTGGAGTGCAGTGGTGCGATCTCGGCTTACTGCAACCTCTGCCTCCTGGGTTCAAGCGATTCTCCTGTCTCAGCTTCCTGAGTAGCTGGGATTACAGGTGTGCACCACCATGTCTGGCTAATTTTTGTATTTTTAGTAGAGATGAGGTTTCACCATATTGGCTAGGCTGGTCTTGAACTCCTGACCTCAGATGATCTGCCTCCCTCGGCCTCTCAAACTGCTGGGATTACAGGTGTGAGCCACCGCTCCTGGACATTGCTGTTTAGATTCTTTTGTCCCATGGGGTGTTCCCTTGATGTAGTACTCTTCCCCTTTTCCTAAGGATGTGGCTTCCTGAGAGCGGAACTCTAATAATTGTTACTTATCTTCTGGATCTAGCCATGCAGAAGGGCTAACAGGCTTTGGGTTGGTACTGGGGATTGTCTGCACAAAGTCCTGTGATGTGAAGTGTCTTCGGTATCCTCAGCTGTGGATACCATCACCTGCTCTGGTGGAGGTGGCAGGGGAATGAAATGGACTCTGTGAGGGTCCTTAGTTTTGATTGTTTAATGCACTATTTTTGTGCTGGTTGGCCACCTGCCAGGAGGTGGTGCTTTCAAGAGAGCATCAGCTGTGGTAGTATAGGGAGGAACAGGTGGTGCACAGGGCCCTAGAACTCCCAAGAGGATATCCCCTTTGTCT
This sequence comes from Homo sapiens, assembly GCF_000001405.40. Lineage (NCBI taxonomy): Eukaryota > Metazoa > Chordata > Mammalia > Primates > Hominidae > Homo > Homo sapiens. The sequence goes on from NC_000023.11 coordinate 92,162,919, forward strand.
TCAGCTACCAAGGTGGGTAGGGAAGGACCATCAGGTGGGGGCAGGGTTAGGTGTGTCTGAGCTCAGATTCTCTTTGGGCAGGGCATGCTGTGGCTGCTGTGGTGGATGGGGGTGTGGTTTCCAGGTCAATGGAGTTATGTTCCCAGGAGGATTATGGCAGTCTCTGCTGTGTCATGCAGTTTGTCAGGGAAGTAGGGGAAAGCCGGCAGTTACAGACCTCACCTAGCTCTCATGCAACCCAAAAGGCCTGTCTCACTCCCACCGTGCCCCCCGCCAAAACAGTGCTGAGTTTGTTTCCAGGCAGTGGGGACGCAGGGCTGAGAGCTTGCCCCAGGCTACCAGCCTCCCCACAGAGAAAGCAAGCATGGCTTTTGCGCCTCCCCACCTGTCGATTCTGCATACCAGATTCACGCCCTACCCTGAGTTCTGGCCAGGAGACTTCGCATTTGGTTGGAATTGTTACAAAGTTCAGCTGGAGGTTTCCTTCTCCCTGTGGTCTTTTCCCAGTTCCTCTGGCAGCCCTCCCCAAGGACCCCTGTGAGACAAGTCAGAAATAGCTACCCTGGGGACCCAGAGAGCCCACAGGGCTTTTTCCACTGCTTCCTCTACCCCTGTATTTCACTTGGCTATCTAAATTGACTCAGCTCTAGATGAGGTCAAATGCCTCTCCCGTGATTTAGACCCTCAGGTTCCCCAGTGAGGGCGTGTGTTTGGGGGCAGACAGTCCCCCTTTCCCACTGTCACAGCTTGGGTACTCTCAGTATTTGGGCTGTCTCCCGGCTCCTGCAGGAGCAATCCACTTCCTTCAGAGGGTCTGTGGATTCTCTTGGCTTTCTTGGTATATTTCTGTAGGAGTTCCGGAGCAAAGGTTCACGATGCAGGTCTCCACACACTGCTCTGTCTGTCTGAGCTGGAACTGCAAGCTAGTCCTGCCTCCTATCCACCATCTTCTCTCTCTGCACCAGGGACTAGTTTTCATATTTTACAACTTCAAAATAACGCAAAGTTTTAGTCATTTTACAGTTAAAAAAATGAAATAATCTAAAGAGACTGTACTTTGCAAACATAAATGACTCATCTTGATGCATAGATTAAATTTTAATTACTGTATTATGTTGCCATCAAGAATTATTGTTTTTCAAATTTAACTGACATTTATAGAGAAAATACTTTTTAATTAGAATTATCATCTGGTTTCCAAGTAAGCTGCAATGATATCTCCATCTTGCTCAAAGTTGGAAGTAACATTTATGACACGGGCTTCTTCTTACTGAAATATACCAATAATGAGCTGATTCTCTTTTGTTATTTTTTGTTGCTATTTATTTTGTTTTACTAAACAGGATGACTTTATTGTTGAGTCAGATGTTGGACAAGTACAGGTTTGCTGATATAAAGAGGGTGAAGTAGAAAACCGTTAAGGAGGAATATGCCACCATCTAAAAAACAATCAATGTTGTGAAAGCCCTAAGATAAGTATTTCTTCTTGGATTGTCTTCTAATGAGAAGTAATTCTATTTTGTTGTATATTGTTTCACTAGAAATGATCTGAGGTATGGCAGGAATAACATGTATTCATGAATGTTCTTGAAGGCAAGGTTTGAAGTAAAGTGTGCACATACATAGACAAGCAGTGAAAACGTGAATAAAATTAAAAACAAAGGCTATTGCTTAAAATAAATACTAACACATGTAACTGCAAAGAATCCTGGAGTTAAAGAGTGTCATTTTTTAAATGTCATTTTTTTTTTGTAATTCTGATGCAAGAATTCTATATATATTATCATGATATGGTTTGGCTGTGTCCATACCCAAATCTCATCTTGAATTGTAAGTCTTAGAATTCCCACATGTCATGGGAGGAACACGGTGGGAGGTGATTGACTTATGGGGGCAGGTCTTTCCTGCACTGTTCTTGTGATAGTGAATGAGTCTCAAGAGACCTGATGGTTTTAAAATGGGAGTTTCCCTGCACAAGCTCTGTTTTTGCCTGCCGCCATCCATGTAAGATATGACTTGCTCCTCCTTACTTTTTACCTTCTGCCATGATTATGAGGCCTCCCCAGCCATGTGGAACTGTAAGTGCAGTACACCTCTTTCTTTTGTAAATTGCCCAGTCTCAGCTATGTCTTTATCAGCAGTGTGAAAACAGACTAATACATACAGTATGCTGCTTGACAAATTATTTTCATGATGGTATTATAGGATTAAGAGTAATTGACTCATTGATTGGATACAAATAAATCAATAATTTTAAGGTATCATAAATAGAGTTTAAAAAGATCATTCTTGGCATATATTGAACACCAAGAGAGTCTTATTGCAGCCTCAATGCTAAAGCTTTATAATTTAAAGATGCTCTGATAATCAGCAGTCTCCTTGTATATTTTGAAAAGTGAAAGTTGAGATCACAATCCAGTTTTCCATTTTATTGACAAAGAACATGGACTCACTCAAAGCAGTCTCTGCAAAACTCTTAATGTATTACCAAAGCCATCTTGCCTATGGGATTTTATTGTCTGTACAGGGTATTTGTAATCACAAAACCTATCTTTTTTTCTTTGCTCTATTACATACATAAGTCCCCATTTAAACAGAATTAGGCAGTGCAAGTGAAAAAGATTCAATTCCAGAGGTCGTTGGCTTTGTTGTAAAATCCCATGACTGTAACCATAATTATATACAACCCTACATTACTTCTGATGTTTGATAATTATGACCAGTGATATATGTTATTGATTTTAAAGCAATTTAAAACTGGTCCATGTTCAGATTTCAGTAGCTATGTGCACTGTAATTGCTTTCATAATGTGTCTGTATTATATTTAAATGCTTAAGGATGACTCTCCAGCTAATGAAAAATCATTGTTTGCACTTTTGCATTTCTAGTACTTCCTGTGATAAATGAATCTGCCATAGGAGGGGATAGATTTCATGAAATTCCTGAAAGCATTATGGGACTATTACTAGATACACAGGATTTGCAAAGGGAATTTGGCTAAAAAAGTGAAACTGACAAGGATATCATTTGCATTACATAAAGTTTCCACAGGTTAACTCTAGCCGAAGGGTATTTTTAGTGAGCATATTGATAGGGATTGTGAATGACATTACTTCTATTGTGTAAACTTAGGAAAAATCAGTCTTCAATAGTATACATATAGTGAAATATAGTGTACAGTAATATTAATATTTAAATATAGCTGACCACTGTTTTTTATTTTTTCACACAATAATGAAATATATTTTCAATACATTAAAAGAGAAAAATATTTCTCATTAGTATCTATTCATATGATATTAAGTGTTCAGAAAATATACTCTTTACATCTGTTTGTTGATATAATTTTTTATCAATCTACTATAATCTTATTTTTATAAAATAGTATTCTACTTACAGTTTATTTCTGATGTGTAATATTTTTGAGTAAATATAGTAATAACTATGACTTTGGATGTCAGAAAATAGTTCCTAATATTATTCACGCTTTATTTAAAATGTTAGTTTTCCAGAGACTTCACAATCCTATACTTTCTGTCATATTTCACATGGAGTGCTTGCTAATAATTGCCATTTATATCATCTAAGCAATATCCATATATCAAGACAGATTATGTAAGCAGAAGTTTTAAAATATAACATATTTTAGCAAACACAGAATTTCCTGTAACATGTCTGTTATAAGGAATTCATCTGGGCCAGATGTGATGGCTCACACCTGTCATCTCAAAAGTTTAGGAGGCCAAGGCAGGAGAATCGCTTGAGCCCAGTAGTTGGAGACCAGCCCAGTCAACCGAGGAAGACATTGTTTCTACAAAAATTTTAAAAATTAGCTGGGCATAGTGGCATGTGCTTGTAGACCTGGCTACCCAGGAGGCTGAGGCAGGAGAATCATTTGAGCCCAATATTTTGAGGCTGCAGTGAGCTATCACAATGCCACTCCACTCCAGCCTGGTGGACAGAGTCCCCATCACTTAAAAAAGAAAAATAAATTCATCTAGGCAAAAAGGCAATTAGTTGGCTGAATGACAATAGGAAATGTCACCAATAGCTGTAAACTGATGATTCCATCCTTTATCACGTTGGCAACTCTCCTTATTATGAACATTAAAATTAATACTTTCCTGTAATTTAAACCTGCACCTGCATTTCTTTTTGCTAAAATGTACTATCCTCAATTATATTCTATAATTTTACTTGCTAATTTTTGCTTCCTTTTCCTCACTGAATATGAAGTACTATATTAATCTTTAAAGTATATTTTTAAAAGATTATCTAAAAGCTATAAAACTGGAAGTTATATTGCTGACAGGGAATCTTCTCTTAAGAACTTTAAAAATAGACATTGAAAGACACTGCAGATGAACAGTTTGAGTCTAGTGCAAAAAAAATAGGCAAACTAGGGGCTATCAAACCATAGAATTATTAGCAAAAATATTTACTCTTGTTTCAATTGAAAATGCCACATAATAAGATTTATTTTAGTAATTTTTTGTGTGTCTCTTCTATAGGCAAGTATCTTAATGATATTTAATTTCAGGGAATTGTGTGGCTCTTGAAAGAGTCAAAATCAAAATTTATGTGCCAGATTTTGCCTCTTATCTATGTTATTTGTCTCTCTAACTAGTAATTTTCCGTGTTGTTTTAGAGTGAGTACAGAACAAAGTTATAGAATATAGTTAGTGATATTTCTTTACTTTTCAATGGTAGATTACTTTGGCCATCTAGTTAAACTACTGGAAAGATCTTGCTGTCTATTTTGTTATTTTGTAGCTTTTTACCACAATTGCTGGCCATGAATTTTCTTCTTTTTCTAAAACTGAGGGAATCGGCAAAATTTGGAAAATATGATGTCACTATGATTGATCAACATTATAAATGTATTTTTAGAGGAAATTATTCATTGTATAATAGAAAATGTGTAAGTACACATCCTATGAGTCCTGATTGGGATGATTGTTATTAAGAAAGAAAACAAGATAGCCTTGCTGATATGAGAAGTAGTTCAGCCTGTGGTATAAAGGTTAACTGTTTTACTTTGCCAACAAATTTAGAGTGCACAAGAATCCTTTTTCTGGAGTGCGGTGGCGTAGTGTCGGCTTACTGTAACCTCCGCCTACTAGGCTCAAGTGATCCTCTGACTTCAGCCTCCCAAGTAGCTGAGACTACAGGCATGTGCCACCACATCTGGCTAGTTTTTGTATTTTTCGTAGAGACAGGGTTTCTCCATATTGCCCAAGCTAGTCTTGAACTCCTGAGCTCAAGCAATCCACCCACGTCAGCCTCCCAAAGTGGTGGGATTACAAACATGAGCCACCACACCCAGCTGACAATAGTCCTTTAAACTATATAAATACTGGTGGGGGTGATGGCTCACACCTGTAAACCCACCACTTTGGAAGGCCAAAGAGGGAAGATTACTTGAGCCCAGGAATTCGAGACCAGCTTGGGCAACATAGTGAGACCTCAGCTCTACAAAAAATAAAAAATTAGCAAGGTGTGGTGGTGCTTGCCAGTAGTCTCAGCTACTCAGGAGGCTGAGGTGGAAGAATTAATGAAGCCCGGGAAGTCAAGGCTACACTCTAACCTGAGTGACAGAGTGAAACTCTGCCTCAAAAAAAAAAACCCAAAACAAACAAACAAAACACGAAAAACCCCCAACTATATAAATGCCAAAATCTTGGCAGAAAATTAATAAATAAACATGTGTGTCTTTTCTTTGTGATTAAAAGGATGAAGAATCAGTTTTCCATTGTTTACTATAGAATCATTGAGTTGTACCATTGAAAGTTATTTTAGATATCATCTATCCCAAAATCTCATTTTAAAATTGAGAAAAACTAGGCTCAAAGAGATGAAGTGACTTCCTAAGTTCACACACTTGGGCATAGCTGAACTAGAAGCAAAATCCCAGTTTCATCAAGTTAGTATACTTTCTGGCCATTATAAGGTCTGCTTTGGAGCTAGCTTCATTGGTATGACAATTTTCCCTCAAATATTCAATGTTTGTTAATAGCACCTTCCCTGAATTATGTATATGTGTGTTTTCTAAAACAACTATTTAAATCACATGGCATACCAGTTTTACTAATGAAAATCCAGAAAATCATGTCCTTAATTCTTTTCTTTGGATTGAAGAGATTATATATACAAATACTTTCTCAAGATGAATGAGTGGGGAAGACTTCCTAAATGCCACCATTTTGTGGAAAGAAAGTGTTTATAGGGACAAAACCCGAGGTTTTTAAAATTCATTTTCAATGTAGACCTAAATTTTGTTCAGTGACTTGGAGCATTGTGAGAAGTATAGACCTCAACTGAGCTTTATCAGTCTCCAGTGAGTAAAATAATATAGTCCCCATTTTTTTTCAGAGCTTACAAAAAAATGCTTTATCTCCAAATTTATACAACAAAATCATATTTGAGCTAAGACTGAATTTTAGGGGCATTCTTACTCTTCTGAATGTTTTCATCCACAATCCTGCTCCCAACAGATGGAGACTGAAACACAGGAGAGTTTCAGTTTTATAGGAAAAGAGCTAGTGCTCCTCTTGGATTTAAGTTTTAATTCAAATGATAACCATTATTACATGGGTCCTCACCCCTCCTATATAATTCCAGTACCAATAACTCTAGAAAGAGACTCTATTATTTATTCTCTGGAATTAGCCTAGCCAATTTGATGAATAAATGACTGAATGGTTTCTTAGTCTAACCACTTTCCTCTATTTTGTCTTATTGAGGCAGTAGAATATATTATATTCTGTTTAAGTTCCAGAAACATTTATTGGGTGCTTATTATAAGCCAGGAACTGTGCTAAACAGTAATGACATCAAATTACTACCACTTAGGACTATATTTGTGCATAACAAATACTCAGAAAAAATGTATGTACTGATGATACAATGACTAATAAGACACAGTTCCTACCTCCAAGGACCTCACAGTCTTGTGCGGTGTACAAACTTACCTACATATAGGTTAATATTAACTGTAATAGCCACTTTTTATAGCATCAGGGTATGAACAGAGGGCCATGGAAATCCAGAGGCAGTAGCAATTAACTTAGTCTGGAAAAATGCATACAAAGTAGCTTTCAGTCTAGTTATTCTGCTACTAATATCACATTATTTAGGATAAGATATATTTTGTATAAAAATATGGAGATAGAAATAAAATAAAAATACTTCTCTCTATTTTTCATTACCATAAGCCTACAAACCCCCTCAAATTTGAACTGAAAGTTGTATTTTTAATCTGAGAATCCCAAGGAACTCAGGACAAGGATGAATAAACTATTTCACTATCTTCTCTCACTTAATAGTACTAAAGATAAATTTAAGGGAAAATATTAATTTTATGAATGTTTTAGGATTCATCTATGCTTGTCTGGCCAAACAGTATTATATATTTCAAATATATGTATATGAATTATGCATCTACAGAAGTTTAGCTCTGTTGTTGAAGAACAGAAAGCTTAAGATTACTGAAAGAGAGCTCAAAAAAAAATTGGAAAAGAATGAGAAAATATAGTAGTAGTTCCTGGGGTAGAATCAGTTCACAAACCTTGTTCCAGGTATGGAGAAAAGAAAATTTTCAAACATACAGGAAAGATGAAGAATTTTACCATGGACACCATATACCAAGATCACTCAAAAACTTAATTTCTATTTTTTTAAAATCTTTTTAATTTTAGAGACAGCATCTTGCTCTGTCATCCAGGTTGGAGTGCAGTGGTGCAATCACAGCTAACTGCAACCTTAAACTCCTGGGCTGGAACAATCCTCCTGCTTCAGCCTTCTGAGCAGCTAGGACTACAAGTGTGTGCCAACGAGCCTAGCTAATTTGCTTTTCTTGTTTTGTTTTTTTGTTTTTTGTTTTTTTTTTTGAGATGAAGTCTCACTCTTGTCCCCCAGGCTGGAGTGCAATGGTGCAATCTCGGCTCATTGCAACCTCTCCCTCCCGAGTTCAAGCAATTTTCCTGCCTCAGCCTCCCGAGTAGCTGGGATTACAGGCGTGATCCACTGCGCCCGGCCAAGCCTAGCTAATTTTTAAGTTTTACTTCTTTTGTAGAGACAGAAGTCTCACTATGTTGCCCAGGCTGCTCTCAAAACTTTTGGCCTCGAGCAATCCTCCTGCCTCCCAAAGCAGTGAGATTATCAGTGCAAGCCGCTGTGTCGGCCTAAAAACTTGATTTTTAGGGGTTATTCTTTGTGTTCTAGAAGCCCTTTCTTATACAGATACTCATTTATAGCACTGAGGACAGGAAGTATACTCATTTTACAAACAAGGAAACTGAGATTCAGAGCTAGTTATGAATCAAGTGTCCAGCACAGTTATCTGCCCTAAAAGTGTGTTTCCCGACATTGGTTGTGCATGTTGTTTTTCCAAAATTTTAAAAAATACTGATACCTTGTTTCTACCCCAGAGGTTTTGATAGAATTTGTTTTTATTTTTCAAGACTTTTTTGGCTATTCTGGGTTCCTTATATTTCCATATGAATTTTAGGATCAGCTTAAGCGTATCAATTTCTGCAAAAAATGATTTTTTTTCTTTTTTTTGAGATTGAGTCTTAGTTGCTCAGGCTGGCGTGCAGTAGTGTGATCTCAGCTCACTGTAACCTGTGCTTCCTGGGTTCAAGCTATTCTCCTGCCTCAACCTCCTGGGTAGCTGGGATTACAGGCATGTGCCGCCATGCCTGGCTAATTTTTTGTATTTTAGTAGAGATGGGGTTTCACCATGTTGGCCAAGCTGGTCTCGAACTCCTGACCTCAGGTGAGCTGCCTGCCTCAGTTTCCCAAAGTGCTGAGATTACAGGCATGAGTCACCGTGCCCGGCCCAGTTTGAATTTGTGTAGGGATTATGCTCAATCTGTACGTAAGTTTGAATAATGTTGCCATCTTGACAATATTAAGTATTCTGATCTATGAACATGGTACACCTTTTCATTTATTTAGAACTTCTTTATTTCAACACTATTTTGAATTTCCAGTGTACAAGCTTTGCCCTTCTTTTATTACATTCATTCCTAAGTAAATATTTATCCTTTTATATGCTATTGTAAGTAGAATTGTATTCTTAAATTTTATTTTTGGATTATTCATTGCTACTGCATAGACATTCAGTTAGGATTTTCTATATATAAGATCCTGTCGTCTTCAAATAGAGATAGTCTTACTTCTTCCTTTGCAATATGGATGCTGTTCATTTCTTTTTCTTGCTTGATTGTCCTAGCTAGAACCTCCAGTGCAATGTTTAATTGCTGTGTAAAAGCATATATCCTCTTCTTGTTCCTGATCTTAGCAAGGAAGCATTATTCTTTCACCATTAAGTTTGAGTTAGCTGCAGTTATTTCATAGATGTCCTTTATCAGGTTGAGGAATTTTCTGTATATTCCTTGTTTGTTTATTGATTTTATCACCAAAGTTTTTTGTTGTTGTTTTATTTTTTGTTTTTGATTGTCTGTTTGTTTGTTTTTGTTCTTTTCTTTTGAGACAGGGTCTCTGTTGCCCAGGCTGGAGTGCAGTGGCAAAATCATAGTTCACTGCAGTCTTGAACTCCTGGGCTCAAGGAATCCTCCTGCCTCAGCCTACCGAGTAACTGGGACTATAGGTGTGTGCCACCATGCCCAGCTAGTTAACAAATTTTTTTTTGACATTAGATTATTAGTAAAACTGCCCCATTGCTCAAGATTCAGTGGAAAGGAAGCAAAACAAAACAAAGAAACCTTATGAGCAAAATGCTTAATTCAGCACATAACAGCATATAGTTTCCATTGGTTAAAGAAGAACATTTATATGGGGTCCTAGATAGGCTCCAAGGAAACCAAATTACTTGAAGAAGCCTGAGATTATTCTTAAAGAAATATAGGTTTCTTTGTATGTTTACAATGAATGAGTCTTATTTTTACATGCATGGAAGTATCACAGTCACTGGACACTGTATAATTATTCCTATAGTACTTAAGGTGTAGTACTTAAGGTAATTCCTAAAGTACTTAAGGTAAATTCAAAACTGTTTTATGGTCATCACCTCTTTTTCTAAGGTGTTTTTTCATAAAATGTCCAAATAAATTATCTATACAATGTGGCAAGCAGAAATTGTTCCATTGTTTTAATCTTCTATGACCACATAAAATATATCAAATTATATTTCCTAGCTTTAGGTTGTCACTGAAAAACTGCTTTACCTAAATAATGCCAGGAAAGGCATTAGTCTTTCTTTTCAGGAGTCTTAAACCATTAAGCAATACAGAGTATGCCTTTTGCTATTAGTTTGATTTTAGATGACATGTCCTAAGAGTCTAGGACTTAATGCTGGTAAACTTGTCCTTGAAAACTTGATTTGTAATCATTTTTAAATCACTAAACTTTATTTAGTTCCAAAGACCTGCTCAACCATGAATTAGCCCCTACTATGTGTTTTGTTTTTTAGAATAAAGAAAATGAAAAAGGCAATTCATTTTGTTGTTGTTTGAGGCAATCATTGCTTTAAATTTTTTCTGGTAGTTTCTCAGTTTGTTAGATGTAAACAATGACATAATCTGACAAGGAAGACCATACCATTTGGTACCTCCTTGAAAATAAGGAGTCAGTATTGATCAGGTCACATATTATTGATGACTTCAACATACACCAGAGAAACAGTCACATAGAAAAAAAAATATAGAGACCCTACTTTCCTACTCAATGAGCATATATTATTTTCATCTATGGAAAGTCTGATTTTATAGGCTGTGACCTCAAAATGTATTTTGTAATTTTATCTTTCAAGGATGTAATGAGAAAGTCCAGGTGTGGTAGTTCACACCTGTAATTCTAGCATTTTGGGAGGCAGGAATATTGCTTGAGCCCAGGAGTTTGAGACCAGCCTGGGCAACATGGAGAACCCCCATCTCTACAAAAAAATACAAAAATTAGTGAGGCATGGTGGTGCACACCTGTAGTCCTAGCTTCTCGGTAGGCTGAGCTGAAAGGATCTCCTGAGCCTGGGAGGTCAAGGTTGCAGTGAGTCGTGATAGCACCACAGCATGACAGCCTGGGTGATAGAGTGAGACCCAGTCTCAAAAAAAAAAAAAAAAAAAAAAAAAAAAAGTAGTGAGGGACAGCAATCAGAAAACCAGTTGCTCACCTAAACAAGAGGCTTTGTTAGAAAGACGATAAAGATCAAAGCAGACCTATTATGGAGAGAAAAGACACATTAAATGATCCACAGAAACTTGGAGGGAGCTACTTTTATTTTTAATCTCAAAGGTCATTTTCAAAACAGAAGACTCTAGACAGTATGATTAAAAAAAATAATACAAAAAGAAAAAAAAACCTCATAAAACCTGGTTTTAAATAAGCAAAGAAGGATAAAAGAGAAAAAGGTGAAAATATTGCTGGTTACCTTGAAGGAGAATGTGATGATTTTATACTAGAGGGTTTTTTGACATTGAGTTCACACTCTTGGAACGGAGGCTACCAAAGTGACTTTTTCACTGCTTGCTAATGATGCTGATCATAATGTTAACGGGAAAACAGGGTGACTGAGTACTGAGGGACCATAATGAGTTCAGTTTTTATTAGGTCATGGATATTAATGGTATATGCACGTGAGAATCAAAAAATGTAGAGAATCAAATGCTGGATGAAGAGCTAAGTCATAACTGGGAATGTTCATTTGAGAAGATTGCATGCTGAAACCAAGAGAATGTTTGATTTTAAAAGAAAGAAGATCTAGTTGTCTCAGGAATGGCAGCTCTGATAACGTCCGCTAAATGTAGGACAATTACAATGTACAAGTCTCCATGCCATCCATGTTTTACTTATATTTCTGAGGTCTCTTGACTACAGATAGTTAAGTTGTTAAACTATCCAAAATAAATGTTACTACTTGATGTTAAGACCTAGAGGCTCAACTATATTTTGTTCTATGAGGTATGCAAAATTATAACTTTATAGCTCCTTGTACTTCAGTAATGAAAAATGATACTTTCTCAGCAGCTATTAAATGAGGTTAGCCACAACACAATAATCCAAAGAAGCTTAGTTCCAGCATAAAAGCATATATAATTTACAATTTTTTTTTTTTGAGACAGAGTTTCACTCTTGTTGCCCAGGTTTGAGTGCAGTGGCGCCATCTTGGCTCGCCACAACCTCTGCCTCCTGGGTTCAAGTGATTCTCCTGCCTCAGCCTCCCAAGTAGCTGGGATTACAGGCATGCACCACCATGCCCAGCTAATTTTTTGTATTTTTGGTAGAGATGGGGTTTCTCCATGTTGGCCAGGCTGGTCTCGAACTCCCGACCTCAGGTGATCCACCCGCCTCGGCCTCCCAAAGTGTTGAGATTACAGGCATGAGCCATCGCACCCAGCCGTAATTTACAAAACTTTTAAACTGTCAGTTAATCATTCAGGGAAAAGAAAGGTAGATCTTGTACATCGGCAGCTTCCATGAAAATCTGCCACAGCCTATAATAAAGTTTAACTTAACAGAAAAAGAAAGTCTGATTTTGCAAGAAAGCCATGAAGTGCAAAACATAATTTGAGATGAGTAAGTGAACAGTTTTAGTGAGTATATAGCATTGAAATGCTAGGCACCTTTAGTTAAAAAAATTTTCTAAATTTTTGAAGCAGGTATGAATCCTATATAGAAATTACCACTAACTAATAAGGATAGACTTCCCTGAAAATTATATTTATATCTATATATCTATCTATGTATCTATCTATACATATAAATGCATATATAGAGACAAAAATATACATGCATTCCTTAGACAAAAATATACATGTGTCCCTGTAACTAATAAAGATATTCTTCCCTGAAAAGAGTATTTGTGTGTGTATACATATATGTGTGTGTGTGTGTGTGTGTATATATATACACACACACACACACACAGAGAGAGAGAGAGACAAAAATATACGTGTATTCCTTAGGCGTTCACCCACCTCTGTTATAACTAAATTTTCCAAAATAAGAACTTTCTAATCTATAATTCCATGAAGGCGAGTTATCCAGATTGATTTCCTCTTTTTGTAAAATATTGCAATTTTTCCATTTAATGGTCAGAGTAACTGTCTTAAAACCACAGAAGAAGTTAGTGGCAAAAATGAAACCAGAACACAAACTGCTGATGTTTTTTAATGTCATCCTTTTCACTACCAACCACTGCCTCATTAGGAGCTTAGCAGAATGAAGCAGAGTGAACGAGAGCAACTGACATATGGTGCATCATTGGAATGCCACCTTTGTTTCCATGTATTTAGGATGCACCTAGGATCTTACTTCTCAGATAGGATCTTGACAAATATGACTAGATTTAGAGATACTTTTGAGTTGATTCTTATATTCATTGTAATGGATTTCACGAGGGCTTTAAAAGCTTCACTTGAAATGCCACAGGAATTTAATGGATTAGCCAAATCACAGGCTTGTAGATATTTTCAGGCAACGTGCTGAGTTGTTTGAAAAGTAAAGCTCCCCTAATCTCCCAAGTTTAACTTTCTTCTATTTCTACAACACCTCCAATGCATACATTAATTCAGTGTGCAATATAGTAGGGAACATTGTTTCAAGAATGAGATCCAGATTCAACATGCGAAACATTTGTCAATTTTATACGTTAACCCTTGTATACTTGATCATAAAACCATTTCTAGTTCTGTAACTCAAACTGTCAAATAATGAACTAGATAACATATTCAGTGCCTCCTTCATACAAGGATATATCAGCACAAATAAACATACATAAATACATTTCCCAGAATACTATAAGCATACCCACATGCGACATTTAAGACCAAGCTCATCTAGCTCTTGAGAGATAATTTATTTTATGTTGGAGTGCGAGAAGAGAAAACATAGATACATAGAGATACTACAATGTCTCTACCTAGGTTTACAGCTTCTGTCATGTTCTTTAATGTTCTCTAGGCTCCACACTACAGATCCTTAGAACAGATTGGCACACTTTTTGCGGGTGTTGGGAGTGGGGAGCAAAGATCTTACAGTAACTAGCAGATATTTTAAGCATTAAAGTACAACGTAGTTTTTTTTTTTCTTTTTTTTTTGGTTGTTGTTTTTTTTTGAGATGGAGTCTTGCTTTGTTGCCCACGCTAGAGTGCAGTGGGGCAATCTCGGCTCACTGCAACCTCTGCCTCCCGGGTTCAAGCGATTCTCCTGCCTCAACCTCCCAAGTAGGTGGAATTATATAAGCATGCACCACCACGCCCAGCTAATTTTTGTATTTTTAGTAGAGATGAGGTATTGCCATGCTGGACAGGCTGGTCTTGAACTCCTGACCTCAAGCAATCTGCCTGCCTTGGCTTCCCAAAGTGCTAGGATTACAGGATTGAGCCACTGTGCCCGGCCACAAGGTAGTTATTCTTATTTCAAACTAGTTTGAGGCATGGTGCTCTATGCTTAAATGTCTTTGGAGAAGTTCTTGTACCAGCAATAAACCTAGCCATTAGAGAGTGGAGGTTAAAAGCTCAGCAAATAGTGATGTATTCTGATTTTATCACAAAAGCTTCTGTGGGACTAGAATCAGGAATTGGAATGACCTCTAACACTCTCATCCTTGAGATGGCCTGTTTCTTAACAGACAATAAAAGTTACAATTGCATGATGGGGCGATTTTTAAGTTTGCCATAATTTAGCCAAACAAATTTTTCCCTCTGGGGCCGGCCTGTATAAATTTTGGAAACATATTTTGAAGTACTGAAACATGTGCAAACCTAATAGTCATTTTGTGAGTTAAATCTGTGAATTTTGGTGCAATATTCAGACAAAACCTAGAACATCTTAGGTGAACCAACTTTTTGGTACATGTTTTTAGTTGGTATATAAGGATTGTATATTATCACAGTCACTTGAGGATTCTTATTTATGGATACATATATACTATATGTACACAATTATACATACAATTTGGAAAATTATATATTAATGATAAATTATATTATATATACATATACACACACACAAACACAATTTGGAAAATGTTCTATATTTGGTAGTACAGAAGAGTTTTTGTTTTGCTTTGATTTCCAGCCACCATTACCATTACCCACTTTTTACCCATGAATTTCCTTCCATGGAGTCTTTGTTTCAGAGAAGGATTAGAAGCCTTGGATAAATGAATTGTGAGAGCAATTCTGTTGCTTTCTCTTTCCTTGGTTTTAAAGATAACTCACCAGTACAGAAACTAAAACATTTTAACAAAAATAATTGGAAATCTATTTCACGAACAGTAGGAACCCTAGGTAGAATGAAAGCACTTTAATTCTTGCTGCAATCCCAAAGCCCCCAGTGACTCTCAAAATAATGAAAACTGAAGAATAATGCCTGGATTTTGCAACTTACTTTAAACACAGAACAGTGAATGTTCTTCAGTAAACTAGGATGGCTGCATTCATTATTTTCTTCTTTATACATAGTATTGCATAAAATTGCATCTAGCAACAGACATATCCCCAGAATCAAACATTAAATTTATTTGACATTCACAGTCTCATGAGATTATTCTTTGTTATTTAAAACACTGGCCTAATGGCATGTCTCCATACTTTAAAATTTTTGAAAGTGGTAAAATATTATAACAAATTCAGGCAATTTGTGAAATGTATACATTGAACTACATCATCTCTAAATTGGTTATTTATGTTAAATAAAATTAATGAGATAATTATGAAGACTTTCACTTCTGATGGCCTGTATTCAAGTTTTCTATGATTTAAAGCTTATTGAATAATTCATGTATTATTGGCCTTCATTTTGATTTACCAAGGATAGAAGGAGAATATTCTTTTGTATATACAGATATTTCTTAAGTTTGAAAAGTTTTCACCTAATAATTTAAATTATGCATTTTATCATTTAACTACACATCAAACAAATTTCATTATAATTAAGAATGATGGTTATACAGAAAAATATTTTTTTGTTTCAAATCTAGTTCAGAGACTATTTCAAAATTAAATGAAATATTTTACAAAAAATGGACAAGGACATTATTCACTGTCATTAATAATATCTAAAAACATGGATTCCAGTGAGAAGTTTTCAAATAACTCTATTTTTTTATCAGCTTTTCCCAGCATGCACGCTAACACATAGGTTTACGTAGTTAATTCTTTGAGATCACTAGTTTTCTAATTTGTAGTAACTCTCATGTTACCCCATATGCTCAAAGAAGTCAGAAGAATAAAATAATTTGAACTAATCCAACCCAAAAGATCACATTTCCTCAAATTTATCACCACTGGAAACAAAAGCTGACTATTTCGATCTTAAACTATCTGAATTATTACTTTAATTTTCCATTTGACTTTGTTAAAGCAAGTGAATGTTACAAAATGCAGTGTGACATTTCTGAAGTTTATAAATATATAAAGGCATCAGGTTTAATTTTCTAAAAGGCAGAAAACTTGAAGTTGCCCCTCTTTTCAAAAGTATTTTTGCTTTCCCTTTATGTTATTTTATATATCCATCACTAAGGATAACACAAAACTTTGAACATTTTAACCCATTTGAATTTCAAAAAATGAACATAAAAATTACATTATCTCTGGCCATATGAGCATGTATATAATAAAGACCTGTGTTTAAACTGCTCAACCATATGCTGGAATGATACAGAAAAAGGAAAATAGTGAAATGAAAATGTTCAGTTTCATTGAAAAGGCTTTGTTATCTAAAAAAGTCAGTTTCTTAGCAGGAAAGTGCTTATTTCTTTGCGTATAATTTACTTAATGGAATAAGCACTGTTAAAAATGAATTCCATGCTTATATCATAGAGTCCTTTTGAGCTTATTCAAAAGGCAATTAGAGGTAATACAGTTGTAGAAATCTGAAACACGTTTGGGGATACTGACGGAACATATTTTATTCCTTCCAATCAAGACTTTTTTCTACCACTCTACTGAAGCAGCAATCAGCAGTAGAGTACTTCTCTCTATGTTACCATATTCAGTGATCAGTTCTTATCTCACTTGATCTACCTGCAACATGTGGATCACTTGATCATTCCTACTTGATTTACTTTCTTCAGTTGGTTTCCTGGACCTCGCTCTCTCCGTATTAGTCTGTTCTCATACTGCTATAAAGAACTACCTGAAACTGGGTAATTTATGAAGACAAGGGGTTTAAATGACTCACATTTCTGCAGGCTGTACAGGAAGCATGGCTGAAAAGCCTCAGGAAACTTACAATCATGGCAGAAGTTGAAGGGGAAGCAAGCACGTTTTACCATGGTGGAGCAGAAGAGAGTGAAGGAGGAAGCACTACATTCTGTTTAACAACAGAATCTTGTGAGAACTCCTTCACTATCATGAGGACAGCAAGGGGGAGGTCAGCCCCCATGGTTCAACCACCTCCCACCAGGCCCCTCCTTCAACACGTGGGGATTACAATTTGCCATGCCATTTGGGTGGGGACACAGAGCCAAACCATATCACTCTCTTAATTATTTTACCTCAAAGCCATTCGTTTTTACTCTCCTTTACTGCATCTTCCTCATCTTCCTAGCCTCTAAACATTCTAGTGCCCCAGGATGCAATCCTCAAACAGTTTATCTTCCCTATCTAGTCTCTTGCTCTTGGTGAGCTTGTAAAGTCCGATGGCTTTAAATATTATCTATATATTGATGAATCCCAAATTTGTATCCCCACCTAATATGGTTTGGCTGTGTCCTCAGCCAAATCTCATCTTGAATTCCCATATGTTGTGGGAGGGACTTGGTGGAAGATAGAATCATGGGGGCAAGTCTTTCCCGTGCTGTTCTTGTGATAGTGAATAAGTCTCACAAGATCTGATGCTTTTATAAAGGAGTTCCCCTGCACAAGCTCTCGCTCTTTGCGAACTGTGATCCATGTAAGACATGACTTGCTTCTTATGGCCTTCCGCCATGATTTTGAGGCCTCTCCAGCCATGTGGAACTGTAAGTCCATTAAAACTTTTTTTTTTTTTTGTAAATTGCCCAATCTCAGGTATGTCTTTATTAGCAGTGTGAAAATGGGCTAATACAGTAAATTGGTACCAGTAGAGTGGGACGCTGCTGAAAAGATACCAAAAAATGTGAAAGCAAATTTGGAACTGGGTATCAGGCAGAGGTTGGAAGAGTTTGGAGGGCTCAGAAGAAGACAAGAAAATGTGGAAAACTTTGGAACTTTCTAGAGACTTGTTGAATGGCGTTGACAAAAATGCTGATAATGATATGAACAATAAGGTCCAGGCTGAGATGGTCTCAGATGGAAATGAGGACCTTGTTGAAAATTGGTGCAAAGGTGAGTCTTGTTATGCCTTAGCAAAGAGACTGGCAGCATTTTGCCCCTGCCCTAGAAATTTGTGGAACTTTGAACTTGAGAGAGATGATTTAGGGTAGCTGGTGGAAGAAATTTCTAAGCAGCAAAGCATTCAAGATGTGACTTGGGTGCTGTTAAAGGCATTCAGTTTTAAAAGGAAAATGGAGCATAAAAGTTCAGAAAATTTGCAGCTTGACAATGTGATAGGAAAGAAAATTTCATTTTCTGAGGAGAAATTCAAGCTGGCTGCAGAAATTTGCATAATTAATGAGGAGCCAAATGTTAATCCCCAAGACAGTGGGGAAAATGTCTCCAGGGCACATCAAGGACCTTTGCAGTAGCCCCTCCCATTACAGGCCCAGAGACCTAGGAGGAAAAATGGTTTCACGGGCCAGGCCCAGAGTCCCTCTGCTATGTGCAGTCTAGGGACTTGGTGCCCTGTGTCCCAGCCACCACAGCCATGACTAAAAGGGGCAAAGGTACAGCTCAAGGCATGGCTTCAGAGGGTGCAAGCCCTAAGCCTTGGCACCTTCCACATGGTGTTGAACCTATAGGTGCACAAAAGTCAAGAATTGAGTCTTGGGAACATCTGCCTAGGTTTCAGAGGATGTATGGAAATGCCTGGACGTCAAGGCAGAAGTTTGCTGCAGGGGTGGGGCACTCATGGAGAACTTCTGCTAGGGCAGTGCAGAAGGGAAATATTGGGTGGGTGCCCCCACACAGAGTACCCACTGGGGTGTTGCCTAGTGGAGCTGTTAGAAGAGGGCCACCATCCTCCAGACCCCATAATGATAGATCCACTGACAGCTTGCACTGTGTACCTGGAAAAGCCACGGGCACTCAATGCCAGCCAGTAAAAGCAGCTGGAGGGAGGCTGTACCCTACAAAGCCACAGTGGTGCAGCTGCACAAGACCATGGGAACCCACTTCTTGCATCAGTGTGAGCTGGATGTGAGACAGGGAGTCAAAGGAGATCATTTTGGACATTTAAAATTTGACTGACCTGCTGGATTTTGGACTTGCATGGGACTTGTAGCCCCTTTGTTTTGGCCAATTTCTCCTATTTGGAATGGCTGTATTTACCGATTGCCTATACCCCCATTGTATTTAGGAAGTAACTAACTTGCTTTTCATTTTACAAGCTCATAGGTGGAAGGGACTTGCCTTGTTTCAGATGAGATGTTGGACTTTGGACTTTTGAGTTAATGCTAAAATGAGTTAAGACTTTGGGAGATTGTTGGGAAGGCATGATTGGTTTTGAAATGTGAGAACATGAGGTTTGGAAGGGGCCAGGGGTGGAATGATATGGTTTGGTTGTGTCCCCACCCAAATCTCCTGTTGAATTCCCACATGATGTGGGAAGGACCCAGTGGGAAGTAATTTAATCATGGGGGCAAGTCTTTCCCATGTTGTTCTTGTGATAGTGAATAAGTCTCAAGACATCTGATGGTTTTGTAAGAGGAGTTCCTCTGTGCAAGCTCTCGCTCTTTGCTTACTGCCATCCATGTGAGAGATGACTTACTCCTCCTTGCTGTCCACCATGATTGAGGCCTCTCCAGCCATGTGGAGCTGTAAGTCCATTAAACCTCTTTCTTTTATAAATTGCCCAGTCTCGGGTATGTCTTTATCAGCAGCATGAAAGTGGACTAATACACCACCTCATACCTCTCCCCTAAACTTCAGAGTCTCCACCTGTATGTCTCACAGGTATTTTTAGTTTAACAATCCCAAGACTCAACTCTTGATTCCCTACCTACAAGCCTGCTCTTCTTGAGTCTTTAACATCTCTGTTGCCCCTGAAAAGACTGTGACATTATTCTTAACGCCTTTGTTTCTGCCATACCACACATCTAATCTTTCAACAAGTCCTGTGGGACACTACCTTCAAAATATATAGATCCAACCAGTTTTTATTATCTCCACTGCTACCATTCTTGTCTAAGCCATCATCATTTTGCTCTTGGATTACTAGTTTCCAAACAGGCATTCCTACATTTGCCATTGTCCTCCAATCTATTTGCATATCATCTAGAGAAACCTTTTTTTTTTTTTTTTTTTTTTTTTGAGACAGAGTTTCACTCTTGTTGCCCAGTCTGGAGTGCAATGGCACAATCTTGGCTCACTGCAACCTTCACCTCCCAGGTTCAAGTGATTCTCCTGCCTCAGCCTCCCAAATAGCTGGGATTACAGGCATGTGCCACCACACCTGGCTAATTTTTGTATTTTTAGTAGAGATGGGGTTTCTCCATGTTGGTGAGGCTGGTCTTGAACTCCTGACCTCAGGTGATCTTCCCACCTCAGCCTCCCAGGCGTGAGCCACCGTGCCTGGCTGAGAAACCTTTTAAGAATTCAAGTCAGATCATGTCACTCCACTGTTAAAAATTTTCAAATGTTTTGCCATCTCAGAGTAAATGTCAATGTATTTATAATGGTCTAAAAAACCCTACAATATGACAGGTCTTGTGATCCTTCTCTGAATCTTATGCTTCTATTTTCCTTGATCATTCTGTTCCTGCCACGCTGGCTTCCTCGTTATTCAGCAGACACACCACGTACAGCAAACAAGCCCTTATGTCAGAAACGTTGCTTTTGCAGTTATGTCTGCCTGAGATATGGCTTGTGGTTTTGCCCATTCCTGTTAAATGTCAGCTCCTCGATGAGTCCTTTCTTGATCACTCTATGTAAAATAGCAACCCCACTCTCCAGAAATTTCTATCCCCCATCTTCATGTTAAAGTTTTTCCACAGCACTGGACATTATATAATAGACTATTTTTTTTTTTTGTTTATTGCCTTTTACATTCCATTAGAATATAATCTCAGGCGGGCAGTTTTTAAGGTTCTATTCATAACTGTAGCCCCAGCATGTGGAACAGTGTATAACAAATAGTAGGCGCTCAGTAAATATTTATTGAATAAATGAGTGAATGACTGTATGAGAACCCTTGTCTTTTGTCCCATGCAATTCACTAGTGACCAAATGTCATGAGATTTTATATATGTTTAAGCTTTGGTGAAAATGTAGACACTGCCAAAGTCACTGACTTTATTTAGATCCTCATATGTCTTCGTTTATCACTAGCCAATCATTTCAAGACTGTGGTTGCAATTTAAAATGTTTTGCATCTACAATAAAATGGAAAGACATCTTATTTCATGCATTGGAAAAATTAATATTGTTAAAATGACCATACTACCCAAAGTGATCTAAAGATTCAATGCAATCCTTACCAAATTACTAATGAAATTCTTTACAGAAATAGAAAAAAGCAATCTTAGAATTTGTAAGGAACCACAAAAGACCTTGAATAACCAAAGCAATCTTGAATAGAAAGAATAAAGCTGGAGGTATTAGATGACCTGACTTCAAAATATACTACAAAGCTATAGTAACAAAAACAGTATGGTACTGGCATAAAAACAGATACATAAACCAAGACAACATAATAGAGAACTGAAAAATAAATCCATATATATACAGCCAACTAATTTTCAATAGAGGCACCAAGAATATTACTAAGGAAAGAATAGTGTCTTCAATAAATGGTGCTGGGGCCTGGCAGAGTGGCTCATGCCTATAATCCTGGCACTTTGGAAGGCCTAGGCAGAAGGATCACTTACAGCCAGGAGTTCAAGACCAGCCTGGAAAACAAAGCAAGACCTCCTCTCTACAACAAAAATAATAATAAATAAATAAACTGGGATTGGTAATAATATAATATAATATATAGTATAAGTAAGCTGGAACAAAATAAGCTTTCTCCCAGATAACTCATTGCAATCTTCCAGATAATTCAGAATAATATCACCACCTCAACATTCTTAATTTCGTCATATCGGCAGCGTCCCTTTTGCTATGTAATTTAACATATTAACAATATGATATAACTGGGGCTATTTCATTGCCTGTGCCTGTAGTTCCAGCTACACGGGGGGCTAAGGCAGGAGAATCACTTGAGACCAAGGGTTCGAGGCTGCAGTGAGCTATGATTGCACCACTGCACTACAGCCTAGATGACAGAGCTAGACCCTGTGTCTAAAAAATTAAAAATTTAAATAAATAAGTAAATAAATAGTGTGGGGAAAACTGTATGTCCTTATCCAGGAGAAATGAAACTAGACTCATATCTCGCCATATCCAAAAAGCAACTCAAAATGAATTCAATACTTAAATGTCGGACCCAAAACTATAAAACAATTATAAGAAGACATAAGGGAAATGCTTCAGAACATTGATCTGGGAGAAGATTTCATAGATAAGACCTCAAAAGCGCAGGCAACAAAGCAAAAATAGAAGTATGGGATTATAGCAAACTAAAAGTCTTCTGCAAAGCAAAAGAAACAATCAACAGAGTGAAGAGGAAGCCTGCAGAATGAGAGAAAATATTTGCAAAGTATTCGCCAACAAGAGATTAATATCCAGAATATACAAGGAACTCAAACAACTCAATAGCAGAAAACAAATAATCCAATTAAAAATGGGCAAGTGATTTGGGAAATGACATACAAATGGCCAATAAGTATATGAAAAAATGTTCAACATCACAAATCATCAGGGAAATCCAAATCCAAATCACAATGAGAAATAATTTTACCCTAAATAGAATACCTATTAAAAAAAAAAGAAAAAACAAAACAAAACACAACATAGCAAATGCTGGCAAGGATGAAGAGAATGGGAACTTTTATAGGCTTTTGGTAGAAATGTAAATTAGTTCAGCCATTATGGAAAACAGTTTGGAGGTTCCTCAAAAAAGTACAATAAAACAACTATATGATTCAGCAATCTTACTACTGGGTATATATCCAAAGGAAAGGAAGTCAGTATATTGAAGAGATGTCTGAACCTCATGTTTATTATAGCACTATACATGATAGCTAAGATATAGAATCAACCTAAGTGCCTATCAACAAATGAATGATAAAGAAAATATGGTATATATACAGAATTGAATACTATTCAGCCATAAAAATGAATGAAATCCTATCATTCCTGGAAACATGGATGAGCCTGGAGGACATTATGTTAAGTGAAATAAGCCAGGCACAGAAATAGGCACATATGAGAGCATGTTCTCATTCATATGTGGGAGCAAACAAAGTTGATCTCGTAGAAGTAGAGAGTAGAATAGTGGTTTTAGCTGGGCGTAGTGGCTCACGCCTGTAATCCCAGCACTTTGGGAGGCCAAGGCGGGTGCATCACCTGACATCGGGAGATCGAGACCAGCCTGACCAACATGGAGAAACCCGTCTCTACTAAAAATACAAAATTAGCCAGGCGTGGTGGCATGCACCTGTAATCCCAGCTACTCAAGAGGCTGAGGCAGAAGAACGGCTTGAACCCGGGAGGCGGAGGTTGCGGTGAGCCGAGATTGCGCCATTGCACTCCAGCCTGGGCAACAAGAGCGAAACTCCGTCTCAAAAAAAAAAAAAAAAAAAGAGAATAGTTGTTTCTAGAAGCTGGTAATATTGAAGGGGAGTATAGCCAGAGGTTGGTTAACAGACACAAAATTACAGATAGATAGGAGGAATAGGTTCTAGCTTTCATAGCACTGTAGGGTGACTATAGTTAATAATAATTTATTGTATATCTTTAAAGAGCTAAAAGAGAGAGTTTTGAATGTTCCCAACACAAAGAAATAATAAATATTGAAGGTCATGAGTATACTAATTATCCTGATTTGATCATTATATGTAGTTTGTATCAAAATATCACATTGTTCCCCGTAAGTTATGTGTCAACTAAAACGTTAAATGCAAAGTGTTTTGTGTCTAACCTATTTACTTATATATTTCAAAATATCAGTGGTTTGAATTCAATTTAGCTTTTAGTAGGTGTATTAGCTTCCTGTTGCTGCTGCTGTAACATATGCAGCAAACCTAGTGGCTTAAAACAACAAAAAAATCACTATTTTACAGTTCTGGAGTCAGACATCCCAAATCAGTCTAATGAGGCTAAAATTAAGGTGTAGACAGGGCTACATTCCTTCTATAGGCTCTAGAGGTGAATCTGTTATCTTGCCTTTTCCAGATTTTAGAGGCTACCCGCAGTCCTGGGCTCAAGGCCACATCCATCTGACCTCCCCTCATACCTTCTCTGACTTTCATTCCTTCTTCTTTCCTTACAAAGACCCTTGTGATTACATTGCAATCTCCCAGATAACTCAGAATTATCTTGCGACCTCAAGATTCTTAATTTAGTCACATCTGCAGAGTCCTTTTTTTGATAATTTAATATACTCACAAAATTAATGGTTAGCATGTGGACAGTTTTTGAGGGGGGTTATTATTCTGCCTGTCACAGAAGGTTGAATTTTAAATGGAATGAATTTAAGGTAGGGAGAGGAATCTGTGTCAAAACCAGAAATAATTCCCAAGGTAATATATAGATCTTAATATAAGAAAATTATTACGTTCTCCTGTTGTTTATAATTCTGTCAATACTGCTGAAATAACAGATGGTTGAGGTTTTCGTTTAACAAAGAAAGAAATGCAAAATTTCCTGAAAATTTGATTTAGAGCATTACCAAGTCTTATTAAATACCATAATTAGATTATTTGTACCCTGGAATGAAGGTTCAAGTGACTTTTATTTGCTCTAAACCTTGGCTAATCCTGAATATAAACATGATGGTATTTGTTCTTTGTGTCATCACAGACCTGAAAATCTTCTGTAGTGAGTTTTATACTCAGTAAAAATAGGAATCCAAAGATTAGGACTTCAGTGAACTGCCTAGGGAGGGTGAAACTTACATGTGAGAACTGATTACATAAAGTTATTGAGAAGACTAGGAGCCGAAACATCTGATTGAGACAATTTCACCTCCTTTCAAGGATGAGGCTCATCTGCATCTCTACCCATTGAAGAGAGTAGGAATTCCTAGAACCTATGTGGCAGAGGTCAAAAAAGCTGTGACTTAGGTACCAGGAATGGAGTAACTGGGGAAGTGATGAGGCAAGACTGTGGGGAGCTCTTCTCCCAGTTTCTTCTGCATAACTCTTTATTCTCTCTAAGCTCTTTTCTCGCTCCAGCCTCTACATTTCTCGTTATTGATTGATTTATTCCATTAGGCTAATGTATTAGGTCTCCACAAGTGCAAATTCCTCTGAAGAGGAATTAGCATAATAAGGCATTGACACTGAGGATACATTAATCTGATTATACTGTTATGTACTAGAGAGCATCTTTAGAAAACAAAGACTAAGATGTATTTGATGTAATAGTAGGGAAAGAAAACTTATCTTGAAGATCTGCTAAGGGAGAACAAGTCCAAATGGGGTACTATAATGAAGGGAGTTCTGGGGCAGCCATTCAAGTAGTTTTTGTTGTGATTAGAAGAAAACAACATTATTGAAAGAAAGTAGAGCATATTGCATAGGAGGAGGGCATCGTCTTCCAATTGTCTCCCTTTATTTAATTCATTCCTCATATTTGGCCATGAGACGGGGTAGATGAGATGAAACACAAAAGAATTCTGAGAATATTAAAAGTCTTAAAAGTAAAGTGAAGCATCTTTGCAAATCTCTACTCTTTCAGACAACTTACAAAGACATCAACATTTATTAAGTTTATACGTGAAAGTGATCTCAAAGATGATCCCAAAGGCATTGATTTTATGACAGTACAAGGGAGAAAATTGTAAACCTTTCTTTGTGATAATATGTGTCTTCAATGCAATCACAGATTTATGTGACTTTTACCATGATTGTATATACTTGGAATATAATTTAATATAGTCAAATTTGATTAGCATAAAGCCATAAATGTAAGCAAAGTTTAATCTAGTGACATGACTAAAATTCTAAAACCTGTGGGCAGTCTATATATTAATATAAATTAATATATACATTTTTTCAACTTTTAAGTTCTAGGGTACATGTGCAGGATGTGCAGGTTTCTTACATAGGTAAACATGTGCCATGGTGGTTTGCTGCACAGATCAACCCATCACCTAGTTATTAAGCCCAGCATCCATTAGCTATTCTTCCTGATGCTCTCCCTCCTCCAGCCCCATGACAGGCCCCAGTGTGTGTTGTTCCCCTCAATGTGTCCATATGTTTTCATTGTTCATCTTCCACTTATAAGTGAGAACATGTGGTGTGTGGTTTTCTGTTCCTGCATAAGTTTGGTGAGGATAACGGCTTGCAGCTCGATCCATGTCCTTGCAAAGGACGTGATCTTGTTCCTTTTTATGGCTGCATAGTGTTCCATGGTGTATATGTACCATACCACATTTTCTTTATCCAGTCTATCACTGATGGACATTTGGGCTGATTCCATGTCTTTGCTATTGTGAACAGTGCTGCAATGAACATACATGTGCATGTATCTTTAACATAGGATGGTTTATATTCTTTTGGGTATATACCCACTAATGGGATTGCTGGAGCAAATGGTATTTCTGGTTCTAAATTTTTGAGGAATTGCCACACTGTCTTCCACAATAGTTAAACTAATTTGCACTCCTACCAACAGTGTAAAAGCATTCCTTTTTCTGTGCAACCTCGCCAGCATCTATTTTTTCTTGATTTTTTAATAATCACCATTGTAACTGGCGTGACATGGTATCTCATTGTGGTTTTGCTTTGCATTTCTCTAATGATAAGTGATGTTGAGCTTTTTTGCCTATGTTTGTTGGTCACAAGAATGTCTTCTTATGAGAAGTGTCTTTTCATGTCCTTTGCCCAATTCTTAATGGGGTTGTTTGTTTTTGTCTTACATATTTGCTTAAGTTCCTTATAGACTCTGGATATTAGACCTTTGTCAGATAGATTGCAAAAATATGCTCCTGTTCTGTAGGTTGTTTGTTCACTCTGATGATAGTTTCTTTTGCTGTGCAGAAGCTCTTTAGTTTAATTAGATCCCATTTTTCAATTTTTGCTTTTTTTGCAATTGCTGTTGGTGTTTTCATCATGAAATCTTTGCCTGTGCTTATGCCCTGAATGGTATTGCCTAGATTGTCTTCTAGGGTTTTTTATAGTTTTGGGTTTTACATATAAGTCTTTAACCCATCTTGTGTTAATTTTTATATCAGATGTAAGGAAGAGGGATCTAGTTCCAATTTTCTGCATATGGCCAGCCAGTTCTCCCAGCACCATTTATTAAATAGGGAATTCTTTCCCCATTGCTTGCTCTTGTCAGATTTGTCGAAGATCAGATGGTTGTACGTGTGCAGTCTTATTTCTGAGTTCTCTATTCTGTTCCATTGGTTTATGTGTCTGTTTACTATGTGAAGTAAACGGTTAAGAAATAGTAGCTTAAAACTTTTTCTACAAATTTTGTTTATTTCTGTAGTCCCTGCACCCCAGGCAGTGCTTTAATATAATCGTAATGCATATTCTGCAGGTTCTTACTTCAAAACAATTTCAACATTCTTATCTTTCCCATCAGTCCCAATATTCTTCCTATGCAGGTATATAATGAGAAAGTGTTTTGTTTCTTTTAAAACAAAATTTCAATGAGTCTACTAAATAAATAAACAATTAATTTTTTCAGTACATTTGATGGGAAATAATAATATGGAATAATCACAAATTACTGCTTAATGAAATTTCTCTCAGAAATATAGATCATTCACCTTTTCATTTCCCCCCATTTTAACTAGTCTTTAGAGATTACTTATTGTAAAATCTGACGTGAAATAAACTGAAGAACTTTTCACTCAGTTTTTCAAATTTAGAGAATCTAGTCTAAAGAGGACCTGATCGTTGTTGCTATTTTACTGACGATTTTGTTATTTTTGATTATAATGTAATAATATGCAAATCTTTCCCAATGCCCTAATACAAAAATAGCCAGTGTTAATTTTCTATGTTTGTATAAGTTAATGCTAATTTTAAAATTCCATTTTCATACTTGCTTGTTATTCATTTTGTTTTGGTCAAGATAAATTTGCCCCAATTAAGCTAACATGGATTCTATTTTGTTGTTTTCATTGATACTGGAATATTGTCCCTTTCCCTAACTATGCTTCTAAATTCAATAGATAATTGCTCAAGGTTAAAGTGCAGTTATATTTCACATCATCTTTTTAACCTACATTTATTTCCAGTCATATTTCAGACAACTGACTTGTTGCTTTTCCTAATTATATTTGTTTTATTTTCTACCTTTACTTATTTCAATTTGTTCTCTGTTCGTCCTTTTGTTCTTTATTCAAGTTCCCAGATAATTGAAGTAGATTGTAGACCAATTTAGGTCAAAATATTTTCTTGGCTTATCACCTGAGATTCCTAGAAGGATCTCTTGAGAAATTAGAAACGTCATTATTATGTAAGGGGTTTTAATATAATCAAAATGCATATTCTGCAGGTTCTTACAAAAAGAAATTAAATTTACCAATGGCTTAGTCTAGCATACTTTTTAATTATAGAATACATCTTAACTCCGTTCATTATTGGGTTATTGACATCAACCTAGGAATTGCAGTTATTTAGGTTTGGCAGGCAATGCTAATGAATGTTTTAAAAATAATGAATTAGTGAAGTTCTTTTTGCGTTGAAAACTGAAAACTAATTTTAATTAAGAGCTTAGTGTATCTCCATAGAATACTTTTAATTCTTTACTCTTGAGTTTACACTGACAAAGCCAAGTTCTCATGATAACATTTAGTGCCTCTATTTGGCCATGTTTATGTTGCCAAATAATTAAGCACAAATAGCATCTTCGAAGAACTCAGAAGACATACAGGACAGCAACCTCCCAGAACAGATTTCTCAGGGACAAGAAATCTAGTGAGAGTTTGTTTCTACCTAGAATCTTGATCTAAGTGAATACATAAATTTTCTAAAATGTTAACATTTCTTCATCAAATAACTCAAGGTTAGGAAGAAGTGCCTTTTTATGGCTTATGATATGGATCTTGATATGAGTCATAATTTTTTTAATGAAGGAGAACCATTCTGTCTCCTTGCCCCACACTTGAGCTTAATGTTCTAATATTAGGAAACAAAAAGGTTGATAATTCTTTACTTTGTGAATTATAATTGACTTTTTAAAAAGAAAGTTAACTCATAATTGTAATAGCCGCTAACTCTCTGACAAACCTTTTGCACATAACTGGAAAGCATAAAAGACAAAAACTATAAGTTCATGATTTCATTCTCTTTTTATTTTTTTATGTTTAAATTTATTTGTTTGTTTGTTTATTTTTGAGATGGAGTCTCGCTCTGTCCCCAGGCTGCAGTGCAGTGGTGTGATCTCGGCTCACTGCAACCTCTGCCTCCTGGGTTCAAGCGATTCTCCTGCCTCAGCCTCCCGAGTAGCTGGGACTGCAGGCGTGCGCCAACACGCCCAGCTAATTTTTTTTTTTGTATTTTTAGTAGAGATGGGGTTTTACCATGTTGGCTAGGATGGTCTTGATCTCTTGACCTCATGATCCGCCCACCTCGGCCTCCTAAAGTGCTGGGATTACAGGCGTGAGCCACTGCACCCGGCCTCCATTCTCTTTTTAAACAATTAGTGCCATTATTCAGATATTGGAATGGTGGCAAGCTAGAGTAGACCCGGGTTATACAACTTTTGTGGTGGTTGTTGTTGTTTTGTTTTGAGAGGGAGTTTCTCTGTGTTGCCCAGGCTGGAGTGCAGTGGTGCTGTTTTGGCTCACTGCAACCTCTGTCTCCCAGATTCAAGCAATTCTTCTGCCTCAGCCTCCCGAGTAACTGGGATTACAGGCATGTGCCACCACGTCCAACTAATTTTTGTATTTTTAGTAAAGACGAGGTTTCACCATGTTGGCCAGGCTGGTCTCGAACCCCTGATCTCAAGTGATCCACCTGCCTCTGCCTCCCAAAGTGCTGAGATTACAGGTGTGAGCCACCATGCCTGGCCCCCAGGTTATACAATTATAATTCATTTATAGTTATGGGCAGACTTGTTTAACATTTAGGAATTATCAATCCAGTCTTCTGTATGTAATTAAAGGGGATTTTTTTTTAATTTGACATAGTTATTAAAAAGACTTCCTGCAAGCAAAATTACATATTGAAGGTAGTGAAAAAGACATTATTTTATGTGTTTGTGTTCTAGTGAATCTGAAAGATTAATCCATTTTAACCCTAGGGTGGGGTGTAGTAGTGGTGAATCATCTCAGTATTATTGATACACATCAGATTATTTTCATGATGGCATCCACTTTACATGCAGTAAAGTATGTATAACTTTTGTTTTTTGGTGGGGACAAGAATGATGCCAATAACCTAAACTATCTTTACTATATCGTGCTTTTCTTTGTAGGGGCTAGTTAAATCTTTAGGAGTTTAACTTCACCTATAGTATATTTATCTCCATTAATAACAAGAACATTATAATTTTTTACTAATTATGACAAAATTTAGTATTTTGAGCATAAATTTGGCCAAACTATTCCTCTATATTTTTTTCCAATTTCAAAATAATACTTTTATATTTTAAATAATATATTGCTTTAACATAATAAATTACTGTATATTTTCCCATTAAAGAGATTTATGCATGAAATATTTCCAAGTGAAAGATACACTTTTAAGTGTGTGATAAACCCATGAATTATTTCTACTCTCACACCTCTTAAAAAATTTTAAAATAAATGTTTATCTAAAAATCACTCTACAGTAAGCTGCTGAATAATCAATTGATTTCAGCCTTTTGAGCTTTTCAAATTCTTACTGGAAAAAACTACTTTGATGGAATGGTTTTCCCTTCCCTTAATCCTGCTCTGACAACTTACAAAATATTGGAAAATGCACAACTGCTATATCTGAATCATACGTTTAGAAAAAATTTTAATGCATTCATAGCCATCTTTAAAAAATTGGACAACATTCAAGAGACTCGCCCAGGTACTACTTACATAGTATATTTTTAGGAACTTATGGTAACAGCAGTGACAGTAAGTACTTTGAAAATAAGGACTAAATGAAGCTTATAGTATTGTGTTTTGTCTTTATTTGGGTCTAGTTCTTAAGAAAATAATTGGGGATCATTAGTTTGAAATATCTGTGCCTACATTGAGGAGTAATCTTGAGCGATTCTCAGAGAGGTGAAAATAAGAAATAATCCAATGAATAAGCAAACGTAAATTATTCTTTTAGGGATTTAAACATAATTTACTGATATTTTCTGATAAGTTTTGATATTTAAAATATGAAAGTTCAGATTACCTAATGTTAAATTAGCTGATGGATTGAACTTGTCTACTCATAATTCATAACTCTTCCACTGAATATTTGAAGCCCATAAATCCAATACAACTTCATTTTTATGGCACCTATCTTAATTAGCTTTCAGTCAGGATATTGAAATATGAAAATATACGCAGAATTATAGTTCTGTGCTGTTTTTGTTCTTTCACATGCTAATAAGAGTATGCATTTTTAAAGTTTAGTAAACTTAAATTATAAAAAGTGGGAAAATGTCTTCTCCTTGAAATAAAATTGATAAGCTAAGACTACATATATATCATCTGAGAAATAAATATTATGTTTTTTTTTTTTTTCCAGTAATGTCTGGAACAGCTAGAATCTCTCCCAGGTGCCCTAGGGCAGGCCATCTCATAGAGATATATGATCACTGGGTCTTGCTATCTAGATCTGGAGGCTTGTCAGGATCAGAGTTCTGCACAGAAACATTAAGAGATTTTGCACTGTGAATATTTCAACATGTCCAGATAATCTGTGTGAAAAGCATTGTTCTTTTGTGCTTCTCTGGATGACCTCTTTGCACAGAGTGATAGCTTTATCCTTTTTTCACATCATTATGTTTGCTGGGGGGAAATCATGCTGTGCTATGTCATAATAATATGTAATCTTCTTGCTCAGTTTAGCTGAGATTTAAGGAGACTCTGTTCACAGAAGCCCTTCTTTAAAACCTGATGTATAATTTTGCAGAATCACCCTAGCAGAAGAGCAAGAGGCTTTATAAGAGCGATACAACCATTAAAACTCTTAAACGAAGATTAGTTTCAAGTTTTACAATCCGGTACCAAACCATCTGGCAAATCTCATGTCGGGTTTTGTTAAAGCTCTGAGCTTTCTAAGGGTTAATTCATCCCCCTTCTATAACATTCCCCCTTCCCTAAACACACATAGGAACACACACTTGACTTGATGATTAAGATAAAAGATCTAATTAAATGCTCCAAGCTTGTTGATTTTTCCACCTGGTGATTTGTTGCTCTTGACGACAATTTCTAGATAGCTCTTTGCTTTTGGCAAAACCCTTGGAATCCTTATGGATAAATGAATATATTTCTCCCAAATTATTCATCTCGTTTTTTCCACATTTCTCTTGGGTCTAACTACATCCAGAAGGAGGATCCTCATTACCTTGTGCTGACAAACCACTTCAGAGGGACTCAGATTAGTCTGAAAAATATTGGACATGCCTATGAAATAACCCAACACTATTTTTCTCAAGATCTCATCATTGTAGCTTTGATGATGGCAGTTATCCTAGAAAAAAAAATGAAGTCTTAAAATAAATTTTAGTTTATATTAACCCGGGGTTGAGTCATTTCTAAACATTCCATCCATAGCTATCAAATTGTTCTTTGCATTTAGAAATCCATGTCTCCTGACACCAATTTGCATACAAAGCTCAAGACAAAACAAAAGACACACAAAGAATAAAGGAGAATTAATCATAGGACGTAAATTATTCCAGATTCACAATGTCTTGTCTGTGCCATGCTGTTGATAAACATAGCTTTACATGTCCCTTTAATTCTGCTAAATGTGTGCCAGTTTCCCCATGGAGAGGAAACATTATTAAATTATGTATTTTCTAGTCTTGCCGCAACTCTAAAAAACACAATGAAAATTCAGTTTGTGAGTTTATATGGGAACACTTTACTCTGTGTAACTTATAAGAAAGCTTATAGTTCTTATATTTCTTCAAGCATGTAATCTACAGAGTCCTTCTAGGAAAGAGAATATCTCAATACTTGAAAATTTTGACCAAACACTAAATATCAAATTCCAAGTCTAAACGTATTTTATCCAACCTTTCTCCTTGTCTCCACCTAAAAAAATTTCATTGATTTTTAAGCAAATATAGATACATTTTAAACATTTAAGTAGCCAATTTATTTTATACTTTGAATTGTCAGTTTGACTTAAAATCTATATTTATCCTTACTATAAGCATTAATAAATATGATTCATACCAGTCCTCAAAATTTAAGCTTTTGAGAAATCTCCAGTTTTAAAAAACAACTTTTGAATTTGAAGTTTCAACTAAATTCACACAAAAACTTGTATTTACCTGAGTAAGAAGAATTTATCTCTAATCAAAAGAGGCTTCTTCCAACTAGAGATTATGTAACAATTGGGATAAGTAAAAATAATTAATGTCTGCCTTACCCGTTCCCAGCACCCTCACTCATCACATTATTGTAACAGTGGTAAATTTTTGTTTTTCAGATATATGAAAAAAAAAATTAAAAAACCTCTAAGTAACTGGAATTTATTGTTTCAACAAATTTCAGGTGCTTCATAGTACCTTACTGATGAGAACTGAGGGTCATTTCTGAATGGGAATAGAAGATTGTGAGGCCAGCATACTCCATCCCTGGCAGGGCTGCTCGGGGCCTTTCTCTTGTATTAAAGTGGTAGCTTCACTTAGAAAAGAGACAAGGGGAGATAGAGGTGGAGAGAGAATGAGAGAGGGGTGGAGAGAGATTGAGAGAGAGAGAAAGAATGAATCACATGGTGAATGGCTTCTGCTTCATGTTGTTAGAGAAGATAAAACCATAATAGTGCAAACCAAGAGGATAATTACAAAATGCCAAGCATTTTATTATAGTAACTCAGTATCATAGAAGTATGTTATGAGGCTCATGTTATTATACTCATTTCACAGATGATGAAGCTGAGAATCATCTTAAATAACTTGACAAAATTCATAAAACTAGTAGACTGTAGAGCCAGACGTAGATTCCAAAGCCTCTATCCTTTCCACTGTTGCACCATATTGTTGAGTAGACTTTAGTCTCTTTTAAATATATATCTTTTCTTCCTTAAATATTGCATATAGAATACATCTTAACACCTCTAACAAATATAAGGCAGAAAGGCATGTCAGGAGAAAAGAAACATTAAAGAGAGTAGTAATTAACTGAGAGTTTCTCCTATTTCAGGAAACCTCTGGATTATATTCACTGCAATTAGAAAATATGTCCTGTAACATTATAAAAATTAAAAGTTGATATTGTTTCAAGGCTTTTAATGAAAATCATTCATCTATATATGTCCTGGGAAAAATAAACATCAAGTTACATTTTATATTTGTAAACTTTGCCATAGTTTTGATGAATGTTATTTCCACAGTAAGGGTCATGCTTTCTTTTAAGGAAATAAGAATGAAAAAAAGTTTTTATAAATGTAATCACTAGAAGCATCCCCCACATACTTACATGTCTTTAGGCATATATCATCATGCTAGATGTTGCATAGGACTCTCCAAAAAATATCTCATATGCATGTTTGAGGAGACCTTTTTGGCCCTAATCTGTCAATATTTCAACCATATGGCAATAAGATAACAATAATGTATCAGTTATACCCACTTGTAGTCTTTGGTAGCTAAAATAAAGTGATAACTATGACAATTTATAATGTCACATATTTGCAAATCCTGAGACTTCCATGGTGGGTTTGATTACCCAGAAAATGATAGCATACTTACATTTCTAGTGGAAAACCTACTGCATTTGAGAAAGAAATATAATTGCTGAATGCACCAGTGCATCTCTGGATTCTTTTTTTGCTAGATTTTGAAACAATAGTGGTGAAACTGTATTCAGAAATAGCATGATCTTATTGTTAGAATGATTTTCTTACCATTAGGTTTGAGTTGCAATACAATGTCTAATTGAGAGAAGAAAGGATGCATTCCACATTTCTCCTGAAAACAATCACAAAACCAGGAGCCGGGTGAGATGGCTCACACCTGTAATCCCAGCACTTTCAGAGGCCGTGGCAAACAGATCACTTGAGCTCAGGAGTTTGAGATCAGCCTGGGTAATATGATGAAACACTGTCTCTACAAAAAAAAAAAAGAAAAAAAATACAAAAATTAGCCGGGCATGGTGACATGTGCCTGTAGTCTCAGCTACTCAGGAGGCTGAGGTGGAAAGATCACTTGATTCTGGGAGGTTGAGGCTGCGGTGAGCCAAGATTGCCACACTGCATTTCAGCCTAGGTGACAGAGTGAGATCCTGTCTCAAAAAAAAAAAAAAAAAAAAAAAAAATCACAAAACCACAAAACCAGTCTGGGTTTACCTCTCTCAGCAGCTTTGCAATTAGTCAAGTTAAGGAAAGCAGTTAATGAATGAAGTTACTAAAGCTCAGATACTGTGCAACACTCTCAGGAAAACATTTGAGAACAGCAAGAAGAACCGGCCAGATTTAGAAAGTTCAATCAAATTATCTTTCTTCATAAGCCTATTTTTGCAAAGCAGATATATTTTGGGAAGTGAATTTTATTCTTTTAAATTACCTGCATCTTATTATTTTCATGAAAGACTTTATATATTTTCATGAAAGCTTCCTTTGGAAGCTGAAAATATATTTTCCATTTATTGCAAAAACTTTATTATTGTGTATATTTTGAGAAATAATTCTCACTTCTGTGAATTGGAATTTGCCTTAAAATTTTCTTACTTTTTGACAAAAAAAATTGGAATTAATAGAATTTTGAGCATTTACTCTTCATCAATGCTTCTTATGATCTAGCCTCTTCCTACCTCCTCCATAAATAAAATAATTCAAGAAAATTACAGATAATTTTTAATCTATAGAATTTCTAGATTCTAAAAGGTGGGAAATAATATAAACGTACCCCTTTTCTCTCACATATGTCTATTTATTTACACAGCATCACTAGTGAAACAACATATTTGTACTTGAAGGCGTTAATGCAATTTTAAACAAAGTCAACTTCCCTTCCAATGTCTAAATGATTAGCAAGTAATCTCTAACTCAGGAATAATAATAAGATCCAATATCTATCCTTCCTTCTCTTAGAAGTATTATTTTTTATTATTAGCAATAATGCCAGTGACATTTCTCAAGACTCTTTAAGATCATTGCTAAAACACACTTCTTACTTTTTGGCACTGAGCACTATCTTAATATGAACTGAATTAAAATGTGGCTTAACTCTACAAAGACTGTGATTCTTATAAAGCATTTTACTCTTTTCTTGAAAGTTTGACATCTAATTCCATAAAAGGAAAGATCGTTTGGTTCAGTATGTGGTACATGTAAGGAAAGAGAAATACAGATCTGCATTTTATTTCTCAGGTGTCACTGATGAACCATAGTTCATTTTCTTAAAACAGTCAAGCATAAATGTAGCTAAGCACTAAGTTTTCCTGCAAGTGTCATTTCTCTCACTTGCATTACAGTTAGGTCTCAGCAGTTCTGTATATTGGGGTTATTCTATTAGATGATTTCCTGGTTCTTAGTCTTATAACTATGTAATTTTGGAGAGGGTGGGGAGTGATAGAATATTGGCAGGGGTGGGGGGATTATTTTAAGTTCTTATTTTTGTACAAAACAAAATAATTTTTTCTAATGTTTGAATACTGAAGCATGTTATACAGTGGACATGTTTAGTTGCCAAATTTAAATGTGCAAGATACATCCACATAGACTTATACTTTTAACCAAGTAAAATAGCATCCCTACTTAATTAAATGGACATATGAATACAGCATTATGTATTTGACAGAGGGCAGCCCAGCAGACGTTGAACTGCTCACAGTTGACAGAGAATGTTTAAATTAGATGCTTAAAATGTGCATGTGAAATGCAACCCAAATAAACTTGGTTTTTTAAAAAAAAAAGTTAAATGTACCTTTTGGCCATTTGCATGTCTTCTTTTATGAAATGCCTGTTCATATCTTTTGCCCATTTTTAAATTAATTTTTTTTTCTATTGAGTTGTTTGAGTTCCTTATATATTCTGGTTATTTATCCCCAAAGCAGTCAACATCACTAATCTTCAGGGAAATGCAAATAAGAACCACAGTGAAATAGCATCTCATTCCAGGTAAAAGGGCTATTACAAAAAGACAAAAAATAACAGACAATGGAGAGGATGTGGAAAAAGGGGAATGCTAGCACCTTGGTGATGGGAATGTAAATTAATACATCCACTATGGAAAACAGTAAGGATGTTCCTGGAAAAACTGAAAGTAGATCTATCATATGATCCAGCAATCCTACTGCTGGTTATATATCCAAAAAAAAGAAAGAAAAGAAAATGGATATATCAAAAAGATACTTGCACTTCTATGTTTATTGCAGCACTAATCACAATAGCCAAGATATAGGATAATTCTTCAATCACTTCCAACTTGGTATTGCTTCCTTACATAAGTAACAACTGAACATCTTTGGTAAAATCTGTTAATTCCTGAAAAGACAAGGATCATTTGCACTGAGGATCTGCGTCCTCAATGCACTTAGCACTTATCACATCTATTAAATCTTTTGGCATTTATTACATCTATTAAATATCTTTGTATGGCAAATAGCAAATTTGTGTTGTGGTGGCGCACACAAGATTGATTTTAATTTGCAACAAGAGCATATTCACATATATAGCCCTTGAAGCCATTAGGTTGCAAAAGCATTGGACAGAAATTTTCTACAGCTTAAATGTCAGCCATTTAAATATTTTATTTTTTATCTTTATTTTATTTTATTTTATTTTATTTTATTTTATTTTATTTTATTGAGACAAGGTCTTGCTCTGCTGCCCAGGTTAAAGTGCAGTGGCACAATCATAGCTCACTGCAGCCTCCAAAATGCTGGGCTCAAGTGATCCTCCCACCTTGGCCTCCCAAAGCACTGGGGTTACAGGCATCATTTAAATAGTCCTCCACAATTTCATTCACATGTTTAATAGAACACATAAATGTAACACTCCATGTAAACTCCATGAGAAAATAAATTTCTTTTCTTTTTTTTCTCTTTTTTAATTCTAGTACCTAGAGCTATGTGTGGCATATTGTTAACCCTCAATAACCATTTGTTACATAAATAAACTATGATGTCTAAAAAGAGATAATCTACCCAGGCACTATTTTAGCTACCTATAGGCAATGTTTATATGAAATGTACTGTGTATTTTACTTTTAACAAACAGCTTAAAATACTTCTATTTTCTTCCCTTCTAAAGCCAATGAAGGAGGTTGTGCGATCTTGCACCCCCATGAAAGAGTCTACAACTATGGAGATCTGGATTCATCCCCAACCACAGGTATGGCAAAAGCCCTATGATTTTTCCTCCCCCTTCCTTTTAAATGATTTTTATAAATGTATAAGGAATACTCTTAAGTAGTGTGCATAATGTGTATTCCCTTACATTTCTTCAGGTGATTTTGTGCTGGACTCAAAATTTACTGTTGAAAATATGACAGTAAATAGATATCTTTTTAGTGTGATTTGATAATAACAGTGAAATTAACTTGTTGGATCAAGTAAAAGTGTTCCTCTAAAAGCATCTTCTAAATGTTTATTCTGCTGATGTTTAAGTGTACTTTTGTAATCATGGATTGAAAAAAGTAAAACTGCTGTTTTATAATATGACTTAAATTTAAGTTTTAGCATAATATAGCATAATTTGCTTTTTATGTTAATTAGGCAAATTTTAGTAAAACTTCACTGAAACAAATCTGGGGGATAATGTTAGCAGCAGTAAATATGGTAGGTCTGCAGCAAACTCTTCCCTTGGAGGGAAGAATTCAACTGAGGAACATAAGGTTGAGTGAGAGACCAATGCAAGTTTTAGAGCAGGAGTGACAGTTTATTAAAAAGTTTCAGAGCAGGAATAACAGGAAGCAAAGTGCACTTGGTAGAGGGCCAAGTGGGCAATTTGAGAAATCCAAGTACCCTGTTTGACCCTTGACTTGAGGTTTTTATACATTGGCATGATTCCAAGGTTTGTGTGTCTTCTTCCTTGATTTTTTGTTGGGATGGGCTCTCCACCTGCACAGTGGCCTGCTAGCACTTGAGAGGGGCCACATGTGCAGTGTGTTTACT
The DNA here is from genome assembly GCF_000001405.40 of Homo sapiens. Taxonomy (NCBI): domain Eukaryota; kingdom Metazoa; phylum Chordata; class Mammalia; order Primates; family Hominidae; genus Homo; species Homo sapiens. The sequence continues at coordinate 92,202,238 of NC_000023.11, forward strand.
GAAGTTGTGTGCATGCTCATTTGAGGCATTTTTCCCTTACCAGTTGAGTGTTCCTAGAGGAAGGTCATATACCAGTTAAATTCTACCATTTTGCCTCTTACTGTACATGTTTGAGCTCACCCACCCAACTCCTGAGATCTTATTGGGAAGCTGCTGATCACCAGCTTCAGGTGTTTTCTGTCTTTTGGGAGTCTCCCTTTCCTTGCCTCTGCTGCAACTGATTATTATTTTAGAGAGACAGTTTAATGACAGCCTGACCATCACCTGATGGTCACCTGACATTCCTGGGGGAGAAGCATCTTCTGCCCTGCTCATGTCTGTATAGCTACCTACTCTAACAAAACCCGTCTGAATTTGTTTTTAAAAATCAAGTTATAAGGTGTATTTGTAAAGCAACCACTTTTACTTATTTTGGTCAGGACAGCTCAAAAATGTGACCAAAAATTCAATTCTAATTTGTTTTCCTAGTATAGATTTTAAGAGGACTTAAAAAAATGGGGTTGGCTGGGTGCGGTGGCTCACGCCTGTAATCCCAGCAGTTTGGAAGGCCGAGGAGTGTGGATCACGAGGTCAAGAGATCGAGACCATCCTGGCTAACACAGTGAAACCCCGCCTCTACAAAAAATACAAAAAAAATTAGCCGGGCATGGTGGCAGGCACCTGTAGTCCCAGCTACCCAGGAGGCTGAGGCAGGAGAATGGCATGAACCCAGGAGGCAGAGCTTGCAGTGAGCTGAGATCGCACCACTGCACTCCAGCCTGGGCAACAAAGCAAGACTCTGTCTCAAAAAAAAGAAGGGGGGTTAGAAGGCCAATGTCCAGACATTAATATTTGGTATTCTATAACTGGTTATTATACTGTTGTTAATAAAGTCCTAAATCTGACTCCTCTGGTATCAAATTAATATCCATAAATTGCCTTCTACCTAGTTATTTTCAAATGTCTTTTATTTGTTATAGGATAAATAAATTCAAATAATGTAAATACATAAATATGAATCTAGACTATTAGATAAATAACCCAAATGGAATGGAAGGAGGATCATGTTAATTATTTAATGTATATGTGCATCTGAAATTCATGGAAGCCATGCATTCTGCAATTATAACATCCTACAGTATTTCACAGAGTTAATTTACGCTGTTTGCAAAGAGTTTCAGAATTGATTCATGCACTGTGAGAAGATATGATTAATATTATAAAGGTAAATCCCAACCCAGAATTCTGTCCAAATTGTCACAAGTTTTAAGTTATTCCAGCCTGAATTAGTGAAGTTTTGCCACGTTTGAAACTATCGTAACCTCCCAATGGGTTCTCCTTTCCTGCTGCCTAGACAGAGCCAATTTATCAAGACAGGAGAATTACAATAGACAAAGAGTTTAATTCACACAGAGCCAACTGTACAGGAGACTAGTTTTGTTATTACTCTAAAACTCAGGAGAGGATGGAAGTTTTTAAGGATAATTTGGTGGGTAGGTGGTCAGAAAGTGGAGAGTGCTGATTGATTGGGTCAGAGATGAAATCATAGGGAGTGCTGAAGCTGTCTTCTTTTGCTGAGTCACTTCCTAAGTGGGGGTCACAAGATCAGATAAGCCAGTTTACCAATCCGGGTGGTACCAGTTGATCCATCAAGTGCAGGGTCTGGAAAATACCTCAAGCACTGATCTTAGGTTTTACAATAGAGATGTTATCACCTGCAGCCCCAACACCACATGTAAGCCACCAAGGCTTGGGGCTTGCACCCTCTGAAGCAATGACCTGTGCTATATTTTGGGTCCTTTTAGCCATGACTGGAACTGAAGCACCTGTGACACAGGTCACCATGTCCTGAGGCTGCACAGAGTAAGAAGGCCCTGGCCCAGCCCATAAAATCATTTTTCCCTCCTAGGTCTTGGTTCTGTGATGGCAGGGGCTGCCAGGAAGGTCTCTAACATGTCCTGGAGACATTTTTCCCATTGTCTTGGTGATTAACATTTGGCTCCTCATTACTTATGCAAATTTCTGCAGCAGGCTTGAATTTCTCCCAGAAAATGAATTTTTCTTTTCTATCATATCGTCAGGCTTAAATTTTCCAAAATTTTATGCTCTGCTTCCTTTTGAACTCTTTGCCACTTAGAAATTTCTTCTGCCAGACACCATAAATCATCTCTCTGAAGTTCAAAGTTCCATAGATCTCTAGGGCAGGGGCAAAATGCCACCATCCTTTTTGCTAAAACATAGCAAGAGTGACCTTTACTCCAGTTTCCAACAAGTTCCTCATCTCCATCTGAGACCACCTCAGCCTGTACTTCATTGTCCATGTCACTATCAGCAATTTGTTCAAAGCCATTCAACAAGTCTCTAGTAAGTTCCAAACTTTCCCACATTTTTCTGTCTTCATCTGAACTGTTGAAACTGTTCCAACCTCTGCCTGTTACCCAGTTCCAAAGTCGCTTCCACATTTTAGGGTATCCTTATATCAGCACCCCACTACCTCAGTACCAATTTACGGTATTAGTCCGTTCTCACGCTGCTATGAAGAAATACCCGAGACTGGGTAATTTATAAAGCGAAGGGTTTTAATTGACTCACATTTCCCCATGGCTGGGAAGGGGGCCTCAGGAAACTTATAATCATGGTGGAAGCCACCTGGTGGCAGGAGACAAAGTGAGTGCTGAGCGAAGGAGGATTCCCCTTATAAAACCATCAGATCTCATGATAATTTAATATCATGAGAACAGCATGGGGTAAACTGCCCCCATGATTCAATTATTTCCACTTGGTCCCACCCTTGACACATGGGGATTATTACAATTCAAAGTGAGAGTTGGGTAGGGACACAGAGTCAAACCATGTCAGGCTATTATCGTCTTTGTTTTAAAGTTAAACCATAAACTAAGTTCCTCCAACAGTTCAGCCTACACCCAGGAATGAACAAGGACAGCTTGGCAGTTGGAAGCAAAATGGGGTCAGTTAGGTCCAATCTCTTTCACTGTAATAATTTTCTTAGTTATAATTTTTGCAAAAGTGGTTTTACTATGACTTTCGAGTCATGCCCTGCTGATTCAGTCTCAAGAAAATTGGTGAGAATGTAGAATACAAAGCAAACATAATATAATAATCCCACCTACACCTGTATCCAAGAGGCATCTCAGAATTATACTACTAGTTTATTGAATGTTTGATTAAGAAACCGTTGCAGTCGTCCTCAGAATAGAAGTGTTGAAGAAAAGCACACAATTTCAAATAAGCACCTTAAGATTATAAAATTTAACCTACCAGTATGACATCAGGTATCACTGGGATAAATAGAAGTCAGATGGAATTAGACATTATAATATAACACTTTTCCTCGATGAATAAGAAGATGCTAAATCAATGTTTTTTTTTTTTTTTTTTTTGAGACTGAGTTTTGCTCTTGTCGCCCAGGCTAGAGTGCAATGGAATGATCTCAGCTCACTGCAACCTCTGCCTCCCATGTTCAAGCGATTCTCCTGCCTCAGCCTCCCAAGTAGCTGGGATTACAGGTGCCTGCCACCATGTCCAGCTAATCATTGTATTTTTAGTAGCGACGGTGTTTCACCATGTTGGCCAGGCTGGGCTTGAACTCCTGACCTCAGGTGATCCACCTGCCTCAGCTTCCCAAAATGCTGAGATTACAGGCATGAGCTACTGCACCTAGGCATAAATCAATGATCTTTTATCTAACCAAGTAGTTATTTCTGACTGTATTCCTGTAAATGGAGTCCCATATAATTAACTCTACTGATTTACCAATTACCAATTCTTTTGTCTGTTAACAAAGATAAAATCTTGTTATTGACACAATTATTTCTTACACAGGGAGTACTTTTTTCTTGAAGATCTTTTTAAAGTTATCTGACAGCCTTGATTGCCTGAGGCTTCAACTGCAATTTAAGATAGACCATAGACTGATGGGTTACATTTTGTATATGGTATTATTACAGGCAAAGTATGTACGGATAAGGACTTTTCAATCTTGTTTTTAAGGAACATTGTGCTTACCCCTGAAAAGCTTAAATAAAATACTTATTTCATGAATAAACTTTTATGGTTTCTTATGAAATATCTTATTTTTAACAAGATATTCATTACTTAATTTGGGGAATTTTAAAAGCAATATTCTGAAAATAGAGCCTAGTGGAACTAGAGTGCAATTTAGAGGTTAAATTATTTCTGTTCCTCCACTGAAATCTTTAAATACTTTGATAATGCCACATTCAACAATTTAGATGCCAATTAATTAACATTCATGATACAGATAGTGACTTTTTAAAAAATTTTTAATTTAATTTTATTTTTTTTTGAGATGGAGTTTTGCTCTTGTTGCCCAGGTTAGAGGGCAAGGCCACTGTCTCGGCTCACTGTAACCTCTGCCCCCTGAGTTCAAGTGATTCTCCTGCCTCAGCCTCCCAAGTAGCTGGGATTACAGGTGACCACCATCGTGCCTGGCTAATTTTTGTATTTATAGTAGAGACAGTGTTTTACCATGTTGGCCAGGCTGGTCTTGAACTCCTGACCTCAGGTTACCCATCTGCCTCGGCCTCCTAAAGTGCTGGGATTATAGGTGTGAGCCACCACGCCTGGTGGTTTTTGTTTCTGTTTTTGTTTTAATTGGCAAATGCTACAATACTGTCCCATAAAACAGAGTGGATCCTAGCTGAAAAGCCAACTATTCAACTAATTAATGTGGAATTGTGAAATCATAGGTCAATTTTCTTTGAGTAAAGAAAATCAAATGAGAATGTCCATTTCCTTATTAGGATAATTATCATTTTTTGTGAGTATCTTTAAAAATATTTTGATACATAACTGGAGTAAATATACTGAAGTCCTAAATTAGGTTTTCAAAAATTAATGTTAGTTTTAATCAACTTCAGAAGTTAAATCAAACCACCCTGAAAACATTTTCAATTTCTAGGGGCCAATGGGACCAAAAACATTCACTGCAGCAAATATGCTAGCAGCTGTGCAATACTTAGAGGAAGTAGAGAGGTACTCAAAAAATGGCAGTCGATCAGCTTTGCACATGCCATATGTATATGTGAGTTAGCATGGAATTCTTATTTTTTTGTAATGTGGCATTTTATATGATTTGATCGTTTCCCCTTCCACAGTAAATTCACCCTTCACCTTCCCTTCCCCTGATTCATGGCAATTATAATGCTCCATGAGTTAGCAAGCCTAAAACTGAATGATGTTCTGTAAAAAAACTGAAACAAAATAAAACTGGGGTCTACTTATTGGTGCTTTTTCATGCTTTTCTATGACATTGAATGGCAATTGCCCTGCTTGTAAAAAAATTATTCTACTAAGATGCCATTCTAATTATGAATTTAGACAATATCTTGGCTACCACTGTACTTCATTAAATACAATATTTTGTAATCATGTCTTATTTTTACTGAGAAATAAGTAGCTTGGAATAATAGCACTAGACAACTGCTGTAGAATATATGGGAGTGGGGAATGGACTTATTGTTTGACTTTAATTTTCCAAATATCAATGGTCACAGCTTATGACTCATGTCTCCTACAAAAAACATAACTGACTTCTGGCAAAAAAGGACATAAAATAGTGCAATGTAAAGTGATACAAGATAAATAAAGACATTAGAAAGAATGATCACTTTGAAAAAATGATGGAAGCTAAATGTGGTCATAAAACTTATTTCTTGGCTGGGGGTGGTGGCTCACCCCTATAATCCTAGCACTTTGGGAGGCCGAGGCAGGTGGATCACGAGATCAGGAGTTCAAGACCAACCTGGCCAAGGTGGTGAAACCCCGTCTCTATTAAAAATACAAAAATTAGCTGGGTGCGGTGGCAGGTGCCTGCAATCCCAGCTACTCAGCAGGCTGAGGCAGGAGAATCACTTGAACCCGGGTGGCAGAGGTTGCAGTGAGCTGAGATTGTACCAATGCACTCCAGCCTGGGTGATAGAGTGAGACTCCATCTAAAAAAAAAAAAAAAAAAAAAAAAACTTTTCTTTAAAAATTTTATATAAATTTACTATATATTAGGCAGTCTCCTAAGCATTTAAAACATTAACTCATGTAATTTTCATTACAAACCTGTGACTGTTATTAAAACTATTATTATTATTTTCTGTATTTTATAGATGAGGAAATTGGGGAACAGAAAGATGCTAGTAAGTACCAAAGACAGGATTCAAACTCCCTTTGTCTGGCTTCAAAGCTCATTTTCTTATTACTATATTACAGTTTCTCACTAAGAATGTAAAGAAACAACCGAAGGTGGTCCCTGAAACTAATATATATATATATATATATATATATATACAATTTTTTTTAAAGGAGGCTCTTTCTGGTGTTAGAAGAGTATAGTTTTCTATTCAGCTAGAAGAACACCTGCATATATTTGCATATGATAAAGTAAGATGATCCTTTATGATGCTGGAGTGAAAAGAAATAAACAATAAGATACACAGACCACACAGAATATAAGGTGTTGAAATATCCCCGAAAATGCAATTTTTAGAAATGGTAAATATACTAGTCTCTTCTCACACTGTTATAAAGAACTACCTGAGATTGGGTAATTAATAAAGAAAAAAGGTTTAATTGACTCACAGTTCTGCAGGCTGTATAGGAGGCATGGCTGTGGAAGCCTCAAGAAACTTACAATCATGGCAGAAGGTGAAGGGTAAGCCAGTCCATCTTACATGGTGGAAGCATTAGGGAGAGGGAGTGAAGAAGGAAGTCCTATGCACTTTCAAACAACCAGGTCTCGTGAGAACTCACTCACTATCATAAGAACAGCAAGGGGGAAGTCTGTTCCCATGATTCAATCACCTTCTACCAGGTCCCTCCCACAACACTGGGGATTACAATTAAACATGAGATTTGGGTGAGCACACAGAGCCAAACCATATCACTCCTCCACCAACCCCTCCCAAATCTCATGTCTTTCTCAGATTTCAAAACACAATTATGCCTTCCCAGCAGGCCCCTAAAGTTTTAACTCATTCTAGCTATTAACTAAAAATTCGAAGTCCAAACTCTCATCTGAGATAAGGCAAGTCCCTTCTGACTATTAATCCGTAAAATTTTTTTAAAAAGTTTGCATGTCCGAGATACAACGAGGGTACAGGCATTGGGTAAATCCTCCTACTCCAAAAGAGAGAAAATGGCAAAAACAAATTGGCTACAGGCCCTACGCAAGTCCAAAACCCAGCAGGGCAGTTATTACATTCTAAAGCTGCAAAATAATTACCTTTATACCATGTCTTACATCCAGGCCACACTGATGCAAGGGATGGGCTCCCAAGTCCTTGGGCATCCCCACTCCTGCAGCTTTGCAGCGTACAGCCTTTTTGGCTGTTTTCATGGGCTGGCATTGAGTGCCTGTGGCTTTTCTAGGTGCACAGGGCAAACTTTCAGTGGATCTGCCATTCTGGGGTCTGGAAAACAGTGGCCCTCTTCTCACAGCTTCACTAGGCAGTACCCCAGTGGGGACTGTGTGTGAGGGCTCCAACCCCACATATCCCCTCTGTACTGCCCTAGTAGAGGTTCTCCATGAGGGCTTCATCACATGCAGCAGATATCTGCCTGGACATTGAGGTTTTTCCATACATCCTCTGAAACCTAGGCGGAGGCTCCCAAGCCTCACCTCTTGCCCTCTGTGTAACTGCAGGCTCAATACCATGTGGAAGCTGCCAAGGCTTGGGGCTTGCACCTGCTGAAGCAAGGGTTCAAGCTGTACCTTGGCCCTTTTTAGCCACAACTGGAGCTGGAACAGCTGGGACACAGGGTGCCATGTCCTAAGGCTGCACAGAGCAGCAGGGTCCTGGGCATGGCTCATGAAACGATTTTTCTCTCCCAGGCCTTCAGGTCTGTGATGAGAGGGACTTCCATGAAGGTCGCTGAAATGCCTTCGAGGCATTTTCTCCTTTATATTGGCTGTCAACATTTGGCTCCTCTTTACATATGCAAATTTGTGCAACCAGCTTGAATTCCTCCACAGAAAATGGGCTTTTTTTTTTTTTTTTTTTTTTTTTTGAGACAGAATCTCACTCTGTCACCCAGGCTGTAGTACAGTGGTGCGATCTCAGCTCACTGCAAGCTCCGCTTCCCAGGTTCATACCATTCTCCTGCCTCAGTCTCCCGAGTAGCTGGGACTGCAGGCACCCACCACCATGCCTGGCTAATTTTTTTGTATTTTTAATAGAGACGGGGTTTCACTGTGTTAGCCAGGATGGTCCTGATCTCCTGACCTTGTGATCCACCTGCCTCAGCCTCCCAAAGTGCTGGGATTACAGGCATGAGCAACTGTGCCCGGCCCCCGAAAATGGGCTTTTCTTTTCTACCACATGGCTGGGCTGCAAATTTTTCAAACTTTTATGCTCTACTTCCATTTTAAAATATAAGTTACAGTTTCAGGTCATTTCTTTGTTTATGCAAGTGAATATAGGCTCTTAGAAGCAGCCTGGTCACACCTTGAACACTATGCTGCTTAGAAATTTCTTCCACCAGATACCCTAAATCATCTCTCTTAAGTTCAAAGTTCAACAGATCCCTTGAGCAGCGGCACAATGCTGCCAGTCTCTTTGCCAAAGCATAGCAAGAGTGACCTTTATTCCATTTCCCAGTAAGTTCCTCATCTTCATCTGAGACCACCTCAGCCTGGACTTCATTGTTCATATAACTATCCACATTTTGGCCACAACAATTTAACAAGTCTCTAGGAAGTTCCAAACTTTCCCTCATCTTCCTGTCTTCTTCCGAGCCCTTCAAACTGTTTCAACCTCTGCCAGTTACTCAGTTCCAAAGTCACTTCTGCATTTTCAGATAACTGTATAGCAATGCCCCACTTCTCTGGTACCAATTTTCTGTATGAGTTTATTCTCATACTGCTATAAAGACATACCTGAGGCTGGGTAATTTATAAAGAAAAGAGGTTTAATCGTCTCATGATTCTGTGGGCTGTACAGGCTTCTGCTTCTGGGGAGGCCTCAGGAAATTTACAATCATGGCAGAAAGTGAACGAGAAGCCAGCACATCTTCACATGGTGGGAGCAGGAGGAAGAGAGTGAAGGGGCAAGTCCTCCACACTTACGAACAACCAGGTAGCCTCACAACTCACTCACTATCATGAGAACAACAAGAGGGAAACCCGCCACCATGATCCAATTACTTCCTACCAGGTCCCTCCCTCAACATTGGGAATTACAATTCAACATGGGATTTTGGTGAGGACACAGAGCCAAACCATATCAGTAAACTGCTATGATAATCTTTAATGAAAATCTTTCTGTAGGTTGAGAAAAACTAAGAGTGATGGAATGTGAGAATTAGCAGTGTTGATGAATGACCTAATCCTGGAATAGTGCTAACAGGATCACTAATTCAATATGTTAGCAGTAAATTTACTAGATGAAGGAACTGCTACATTAATCTTATATTTTACCACAGCACAATTAAGAATCCACAGGAATTTGGCTAATCAGTTTTCATAAAATAAAATTATCTCTTACATAATTCTTTCATATTCCAAATGGTCTATAATTTATGACAGAATGAGTCACACACCGATTTGAGTTTTTGTTTTGTTTTGTTTATAAACAAAGCACCCCAAAGGAAGATTTAGATGCTCAGGTTAAAGGTCAACACTAGTGTCTTTACTTATTTTCCAAGGAAAACTACCTTTCTAGACTATGCATAATTGATTCATTAAATGTTAGACTATGCTTGGGCAATATTTTTGTATTGATTTCAATTTGTGTCTATGTGGTGGGGCCACTTGCAATGCTTTTTTTTTTTTTTTTTTTTCCTGAGGCAGAGTCTTGCTTTGTCACCCAAGCTGGAGTGCAGTGGTGCAATCTCAGCTCACTGCAACCTTCACCTCCCAGGCTCAAGCAATTCTTGTACATTAGCCTCCCAAGTAGCTGACATTGCATGTGCACACCACCACACTCCACTAATATTTGTATTTTTAGTAGAGATGGGGTTTCACCCTGTTGACCAGGCTGGTCTCAAACTACTAGCCTCAAGTAATCCACCCACCTTGGCTTCCCAAAGTGCTGGGATTACAGACGTGAGTCACAGTGCTTGACCCTTGGAATGCTCTCTTATTTATTTACTTATTTATTTATTATTTTATTTTATTTTTTGAGACGGAGTTTTGCTATTGGTGCGCAGGCTGGAGTGCAATGGCACTATCTCGGTTCACTGCAACCTCCACCTCCCGGTTTCAAGCAATTCTCCTGCCTCAGCCTCCCGAATAGCTGGGACTACAGGCGTGTGCCACCATGCCTGGCTAATTTTGTATTTTTAGTAGAGACCGGGTTTCTCCATGTTGGTCAGGCTGGTCGCAAACTGCCGACATTAGGTGATCCACCCGCCTCGGCCTCCCAAAGTGCTTGGATTACAGGCGTGAGCCACCGCACCTGGCCTGGAATGCCTTTTATTAGCAATGTAAGTATCTTGAAAAAAATTCACTGGGGTCACAAAATAATACAAAGTTTTCCAAGGTGCACATACCATTAACTTCCTTTACTTGTCAGCTACAGTTTCACAACAGGTGATATTTTTGATACTTTTAAGATACTCACACTTTAAAAAAATGTTTTTGAATCACACACTTCATAGTTTAATGTTTTCCTCAAAACCCAACACACTTATCTTTTGGCTTGAAGTTCAGAATGTGTTTCTTTGGTATGATTTCTTTAAGTTGTATGGAAAATGTGTATGTTCTTTAGAAACATAAGCTAACTATTATCATGGAAAGATTTGAGGTAAGAATTATTTCAAAGCTTAATCTGGGAACTTTTGAGAGATATTTTCATCTTCAAGAATTATGTTGTTGAAGGCCTTAAATGCCAAGACAAGTTTAGAGGTAACTCTTCAGACAGTAGAAAGACTAAATATAAAAAAATCAACATACCCTGATGTGATAACATTATTTGTAAGTGCAGGGTTTTATTTTTAGACATATGGAAAATATTCAACATTGTTCTCTGCCCAGAGTCCTAAGATTTTGTCATTGTCATTGACCTTTAGCCGTTTGAGTACTTTGCTTTTAATCATTAGTAACTTTTATTTTTGATTACTAACGGCATTATATTAAGTGCTCTAAAGTAATAATTTCAATTTATTCAGTCCTTATAGCAGCTTTATTGATGTATAGCCATTAATGCCTCAGTTGAGGAAACTGAGGCTCAGAGAGGTTAAATAATGTGCCTAAAGTTGCACAGTTTGCAAGTGTTTGATAGGGGGATTTAAACATAAATATTCTGATTCTAAAGTCCATGCTGTTTGTCCAATCGTACACTGTCCTCTATTCTTATATTTATACATAATGGCTCCTCAGCAAACATGTATCCCAGGTGTGACCTGACATCCCACGATTCTCATGGCATGTTAATGAATCTTAGCAACAGAGCAGATGGGTGTCATGTCCATAGATAAAAGGCTTATGAGCTCCCACAGCAGATGAATACACAGCACGACAGATGGGAACCATTCTTCTGGAGCTCTTGGACTACAAAATATTGGCAACCAACTTAGAAAAAAAGTTGCTAACTATGCCTTTTATATCTACCAGTTATTAGGCTTTGGAAAATAAATTATAGAATTTAAGCACTATTCAACATAATAATAAATCAAATGAATAAAATATGGAGTTTCAGTTTTCAAATATAAGGAAGAAATCAAGGGTGAATATACTTCTATCATATGAATCATTTGTTTACATAGAGTTTTGGATTATGACTCATCAGCCTATGCATGAGTCTTCTAGCAACGTCTAGCACCCAAGCAAAACAAATTGCATTTGTAATCACAGAAGTAGCCTTGTTGATAACACTGAAACCAAGCTGCTAAAAGCTCATCACTTGGCTTATCATGAGGACTCATAAGTAAAGCACATTGAGAGTGAAATGGAGGCCACTTGAGAGCGGAATAAATACCAGGAATAGGTGAGGCCAGAGTTGGGGGCCTCATTGCATTTTGGGTGAAGGTATGATCCTCAAAGAAGAGTTGCCAGTAGGGCACATTCAAATGCGCAAGAAGGAATTTGATTAATTTCGACTAACTTTAGGACGCCAAAAGTCCTGATCTGGAGGGAAACATTCTGCAGAAAAAATCATGTGATCAATGATGATACTCATGGTTAGGCAACCTCATTATTTGGTTCTCTTTGTAGTAAGAATGCAGCCAGTGATTATCTCATTAACTGTACACAGACCCTGAGACAAGTGATAAATTATTTGAATTTGTTTCCACATCTGTAACTTGGGGGTATTTGTATCATTCTTGTAGAATTGCCATGAAGGTTAGCACAATAAAGTTTCTAAAGTGAGCGTATGGGAGATGTTCAATAACCAGGTAATCAATTCCGTTTTTTCCCTCCAATCCCATCTGAAAATTGGAAGGTAAAACAGGAAGCAGGGAAACATAGACACGTGCAATTGGTTTAGTAAACATGGACGTTTAGGTTTCCATGGCCAAACTAGCACGTTAAATTCTGTACTTAGATAGTGAGACTGGGCCTGTTAAAGTACTGCCAGGAGGCCAGGCGTGGTGAATCACACCTGTAATCTCAGCAATTTGGGAAGCCGTGGCAGGTGGATCATTTGCACCCAAGAGTTTGAGACCAGCATGGGCAGCACAGCGAAACCTCTTTACTACTAAAATACAAAAAAAATCCATGTGTGCTAACACATGCCTGTAGTCCCAGCTACTTGGGAGGCTGAGATGGGAGAATCACCTGAGCTCAGGAATTTGAGGCTGCAGTAAGTGGAGATCCTGCCACTGCACTCTAGCCCCGGCGACGGAAGGGAGATCCCGACTAAAAAGAAAACACTGGGGAAGCAGCCAAGATGGCCGAATAGGAACAGCTCCGGTCTACAGCTCCCAGCGTGAGCGACGCAGAAGACGGGTGATTTCTGCATTTCCATCTGAGGTACCGGGTTCATCTCACTAGGGAGTGCCAGACAGTGGGCGCAGGACAGTGGTTGCAGCGCACCGTGCGCGAGGTGAAGCAGGGCAAGGCATTGCCTCACTCGGGAAGCGCAAGGGGTCAGGGAGTTCCCTTTCCTAGTCAAAGAAAGGGGTGACAGAAGGCACCTGGAAAATCGGGTCACTCCCACCCTAATACTGCGCTTTTCCGATGAGCTTAAAAAACAGCACACCAGGAGATTATATCCTGCACCTGGCTCGGAAGGTCCTATGCCCACGGAGTCTCGCTGATTGCTAGCACAGCAGTCTGAGATCAATCTGCAAGGTGGCAGCGAGGCTGGGGGAGGGGCGCCCGCCATTGCCCAGGCTTCCTTAGGTAAACAAAGCAGCCCGGAAGCTCCAACTGGGTGGAGCCCACCACAGCTCAAGGAGGCCTGCCTGCCTCTGTAGGCTCCACTTCTGGGGGCAGGGCACAGACAAACAAAAAGACAGCAGTAACCTCTGCAGACTTAAATGTCCCTGTCTGACAGCTTTGAAGAGAGCAGTGGTTCTCCCAGCATGCAGCTGGAGATCTGAGAATGGGCAGACTGCCTCCTCAAGTGTATCCCTGACCCCTGACTCCCGAGCAGCCTAACTGGGAGGCACCCCCCAGTAGGGGCAGACTGACACCTCACACGGCCGGGTACTCCTCTGAGACAAAACTTCCAGAGGAATGATCAGACAGCAGCATTCGCGGTTCACGAAAATCCGTGGTTCTGCAGCCACCGCTGCTGATACCCAGGCAAACAGGGTCTGGAGTGGACCTCTAGCAAACTCCAACAGACCTGAAGCTGAGGGTCCTGTTTGTTAGAAGGAAAACTAACAAACAGAAAGGACATCCACACCAAAAACCCATCTGTATGTCACCATCATCAAAGACCAAAAGTAGATAAAACCACAAAGATGGGGAAAAAATAGAGCAGAAAAACTGGAAACTCTAAAAAGCAGAGCACCTCTCCTCCTCCAAAGGAACGCAGTTCCTCACCAGCAACGGAACAAAGCTGGACAGAGAATGACTTTGACGAGCTGAGAGAAGGCTTCAGATGATCAAACTACTCCGAGCTACAGGAGGAAATTCAAACCAAAGGCAAATAAGTTGAAAACTTTGAAAAAAATTTAGACGAATGTATAACTAGAATAACCAATACAGAGAAGTGCTTAAAGGAGCTGATGGAGCTGAAAGCCAAGGCTCGAGAACTATGTGAAGAATGCAGAAGCCTCAGGAGCCGATGCGATCAACTGGAAGAAAGGGTATCAGCGATGGAAGATGAAATGAATGAAATGAAGTGAGAAGGGAAGTTTAGAGAAAAAAGAATAAAAAAAAACGAACAAAGCCTCCAAGAAATATGAGACTATGTGAAAAGACCAAATCTACGTCTGATTGGTGTACCTGAAAGTGACGGGGAGAATGGAACCAAGTTGGAAAAAACTCTGCAGGACATTATTCAGGAGAACTTCCCCAATCTAGCAAGGCAGACCAACATTCAGATTCAGGAAATATAGAGAATGCCACAAAGATACTCCTCGAGAAGAGCAACTCCAAGACACATAATTGTCAGATTCACCAAAGTTGAAATGAAGGAAAAAATGTTAAGGGCAGCCAGAGAGAAAGGTCGGGTTACCCACAAAGGGAAGCCCATCAGACTAACAGCGGATCTCTCGGCAGAAACTCTACAAGCCAGAAGAGAGTGGGGGCCAATATTCAACATTCTTAAAGAAAAGAAATTTCAACCCAGAATTTCATATCCAGGCAAACTAAGCTTCATAAGTGAAGGAGAAATAAAATACTTTACAGACAAGCAAATGCTGAGAGATTTTGTCACCACCAGGCCTTCTCTAAAAGAGCTCCTGAAGGAAACACTAAACATGGAAAGGAACAACCGGTACCAGCCACTGCAAAATCATGCCAAATTGTAAAGACCATCGAGGCTAGGAAGAAACTGCATCAACTAACGAGCAAAATAACCAGCTAACATCAAAATAACAGGATCAAATTCACACATAACAATATTAACTTTAAATGTAAATGGACTAAATGCTCCAATTAAAAGACACAGACTGGCAAATTAGATAAAGAGTCAAGACCCATTAGTGTGCTGTATTCAGGAAACCCATCTCATGTGCAGAGACACACATAGGCTCAAAATAAAAGGATGGAGGAAGATCTACCAAGCAAATGGAAAACAAAAAAAGGCAGGGGTTGCAATCCTAGTCTCTGATAAAACAGACTTTAAACCAACAAAGATCAAAAGAGACAAAGAAGGCCATTACATAATGGTAAAGGGATCAATTCAACAAGAAGAGCTAACTATCCTAAATATGTATGCACCCAATACAGGAGCACCCAGTTTCATAAAGCAAGTCCTGAGTGACCTACAAAGAGACTCAGACTCCCACACAATAATAATGGGAGGCTTTAACACCCCACTGTCAACATTAGACAGATCAATGAGACAGAAAGTTAACAAGGATACCCAGGAATTGAACTCAGCTCTGCACCAAGTGGACCTAATAGACATCTACAGAACTCTCCACCCCAAATCAACAGAATATACATTGTTTTCAGCACCACACCACAACTCTTCCAAAATTGACCACATAGTTGGAAGTAAAGGTCTCCTCAGCAAATGTAAAAGAACAGAAATTATAACAAACTGTCTCTCAGACCAAAGTGCAATCAAACTAGAACTCAGGATTAAGAAACTCACTCAAAACCGCTCAACTACATGGAAACTGAACAACCTGCTCCTGAATGACTACTGGGTACATAACGAAATGAAGGCAGAAATAAAGATGTTCTTTGAAACCAATGAGAACAAAGACACAACATACCAGAATCTCTGGGACACATTTAAAGCAGTGTGTAGAGGGAAATTCTAAATGCCCACAAGAGAAAGCAGGAAAGATCCAAAATTGACACCCTAACATCACAGTTAAAAGAACTGGAAAAGCAAGAGCAAACACATTCAAAAGCTAGCAGAAGGCAAGAAATAACTAAAATCAGAGCAGAACTGAAGGAAATAGAGACACATAAAACCCTTCAAAAAATTAATGAATCCAGGAGCTGGTTTTTTGAAAGGATCAACAAAATTGATAGACCACTAGCAAGACTAATAAAGAAGAAAAGAGAGAAGAATCAAATAGACGCAATAAAAAATGATAAAGGGGATATCACCACCGATCCCACAGAAATCCAAACTACCATCAGAGAATACTACAAACACCTCTATGAAAATAAACTAGAAAATCTAGAAGAAATGGATAAATTCCTCCATACATACACCCTCCCAAGACTAAACCAGGAAGAAGTTGAATCTCTGAATAGACCAATAACAGGCTCTGAAATTGTGGCAATAATCAATAGCTTACCAACCAAACAGAGTCCAGGACCAGATGGATTCACAGCCGAATTCTACCAGAGGTACAAGGAGGAATTGGTACCATTCCTTGTGAAACTATTCCAATCAATAGAAAAAGAGGGAATCCTCCCCAACTCATTTTATGAGGCCAGCATCATCCTGATACCAAAGCCTGACAGAGACACAACCAAAAAAAAGAATTTTAGACCAATATCCTTGATGAACATTGATGCAAAAATCTCAATAAAATACTGGCAAACCGAATCCAGCAGCACATCAAAAAGCTTATCCACCATGATCAAGTGGGCTTCATCCCTGGGATGCAAGGCTGGTTCAATATATGCAAATCAGTAAATGTAATCCAGCATATAAACAGAACCAAAGACAAAAACCACATGATTATCTCAATAGATGCAGAAAAGGCCTTTGACAAAATTCAACAACACTTCATGCTAAAAACTCTCAATAAATTAGGTATTGATGGGACGTATCTCAAAATAATTAGAGCTATCTATGACAAACCCATGGCCAATATCATACTGAATGGGCAAAAACTGGAAGCATTCCCTTTGAAAACTGGCACAAGACAGGGATGCCCTCTCTCACCACTCCTATTCAACATAGTGTTGGAAGTTCTGGCTAGGGCAATTAGGCAGGAGAAGGAAATAAAGTGTATTCAATTAGGAAAAGAGGAAGTCAAATTGTCCCTGTTTGCAGATGACATGATTGTATATCTAGAAAACTCCATTGTCTCAGCCCAAAATCTCCTTAAGCTGATAAGCAACTTCAGCAAAGTCTCAGGATACAAAATCAATGTACAAAAATCACAAGCATTTTTATACACCAATAACAGACAAACAGAGACCCAGATCATAAGTGAATTCCCATTCACAATTGCTTCAAAGAGAATAAAATACCTAGGAATCCAACTTACAAGGGACGTGAAGGCCCTCTTCAAGGAGAACTACAAACCACTGCTCAATGAAATAAAAGAGGATACAAACAAATGGAAGAACATTCCATGCTCATGGGTAGGAAGAATCAATATTGTGAAAATGGCCATACTGCCCAAGGTAATTTATAGATTCAATGCCATCCCCATAAAGCTACCAATGCCTTTCTTCACAGAATTGGAAAAAACTACTTTAAAGTTCATATGGAACCAAAAAAGAGCACGCATCGCCAAGTCAATCCTAAGCCAAAAGAATAAAGCTGGAGGCATCATGCTACCTGACTTCAAACTATACTACAAGACTACAGTAACCAAAACAGCATGGTACTGGTACAAAAACAGAGATATAGATCAATGGAACAGAACAGAGCCCTCAGAAATAATGCCACATATCTACAACTATCTGATCTTTGACAAACCTGAGAAAAACAAGCAATGGGGAAAGGATTCCCTATTTAATAAATGGTGCTGGGAAAACTGGCTAGCCATACGTAGAAAGCTGAAACTGGATCCCTTCCTTACACCTTATACAAAAATCAATTCAAGATGGATTAAAGACTTAAACGTTAGACCTAAAACCATAAAAACCCTAGAAGAAAACCTAGGCATTACCATTCAGGACATAGGCATGGGCAAGGACTTCATGTCTAGAACACCAAAAGCAATGGCAACAAAAGCCAAAATTGACAAATGGGATCTAATTAAACTAAAGAGCTTCTGCACAGCAAAAGAAACTACCATCAGAGTGAACAGGCAACCTACAAAATGGGAGAAAATTTTCGCCACCTACTCATCTGACAAAGGGCTAATATCTAGAATCTACAATGAACTCAAACAAATTTACAAGAAAGAAACAAACAACCCCATCAAAAAGTGGGCAAAGGACATGAACAGACACTTCTCAAAAGAAGACATTTATGCAGCCAAAAAACACATGAAAAAATGCTCACCATCACTGGCCATCAGAGAAATGCAAATCAAAACCACAATGAGATACCACCTCACACCAGTTAGAAGGGCAATCATTAAAAAGTCAGGAAACAACAGGTGCTGGAGAGGATGTGGAGAAATAGGAACACTTTTACACTGTTGGTGGGACTGCAAACTAGTTCAACCATTGTGGAAGTCAGTGTGGCGATTCCTCAGGGATGTAGAACTAGAAATACCATTTGACCCAGCCACCCCATTACTGGATATATACCCAAAGGACTATAAATCATGCTGCTATAAAGACACATGCACAGGTATGTTTATTGCGGCACTATTCACAATAGCAAAGACTTGGAACCAACCCAAATGTCCAACAATGATAGACTGGATTAAGAAAATGTGGCACATATACACCATGGAATACTATGCAGCCATAAAAAGTGATGAGTTCATGTCCTTTGTAAGGACATGGATGAAATTGGAAATCATCATTCTCAGTAAACTATCACAAGAACAAAAAACCAAACACCCCATGTTCTCACTCATAGGTGGGAATTGAACAATGATAACACATGGACACAGGAAGGGGAACATCACACTCTGGGGACTGTTGTGGGGTGGGGGGAGGGGGGAGGGATAGCATTAGGAGATATACCTAATGCTAAATGACGAGTTAATGGGTGCAGCACACCAGCATGGCACATGTATACATATGTAACTAACCTGCACATTGTGCACATGTACCCTAAAACTTAAAGTATAATAATAATAAAAAAATAAATAAAAATAAATAAAAATGAAAAATTGCTCATTTTTTTTTTAAAAAAGAAAACATTGTATACAACACACACACACACACACACACACACACACACACACACACACACACACATATATACGAAGTACTTCCAGGTATGGTGCAGATTGGTTCTGGTCCGAGGCAAAGTTGGCTATCACCTCAAGTGGCTGAACAGGCTGAGAACCTTCAGAAGTATCTATAGAGGAAGGCTAGATAAAGGCCAGAGACATTATATGTCTGTGCCTCTTTGTTGATTTTGGCAGGAGTTATTGTTAAGGAAACAAAAATTCTGTTGATTCAAGTTTGTATATCAGCTTATTTGATCAGCATGTTATATGCTGAAAATACTTACTTTGACTAATCTAGAACTATTATAAGCAAATTTGAGAGATTGTCTTTAAAGAAACACCACTGAGTTTGCTCAGATCTGTAGTAGCAAATATTAGTTACTTTAAAACATTTGCTGATGTAATCTAGAGTTAAAATTAAAAATAATAAAAATCAAAGTGAACCTTTTCACAATCTCTTTTATGGGTCTACTGTATGACCATTAGATTAATTGTTGACTTCCAGCATAATTTCAGAGCAAACCATTTTCTTAAATAGATTTTTTTTTTTTGAGACAGGGTTTTGCTCTTGTTGCCCAGGCTGGATGCAATCACGATCTCAGCTCACTGCAATCTCCGCCTCCTGGGTTCAAGATATTTTCCTGCCTCAGCCTCCTGAGCAGCTGGGCTTACAGGTGCACGCCACCATACTCAGCTAATTTTTGTATTTTTAGTAGAGATGGGGTTTCATTATGTTGGTCAGGCTGGTCTTGAACTCCTGACCTCAGATGATCCACCCTCCTTGGCTTCCCAAAGTGCTGGGATTACAGGCGTGAGCCACCATGCCCAGCCTCTTCAATAGATTTTTTTTTTTAAAGGATTATACAATGGCAGGGAGCTCTTTGGTGTGATGTGAAAGTATTTTGTATCTCAGTTTTGGAAGATTACTCAATGTAAATGTTGAATTTATAATTTCAGGACTTGTTTCTTTAGAAACACTCTGTTTCACAGGTAAAAATGTCGGATTGCCCTATTTAAATGTTAGTGCCCAAATGTAAAAGAAAAAATACTACAACAATTTAGCAAGTTGCATGCCTGTGAGACTTTAAAGATTTGTCTGTTTTGTTTTATTTTCTTTTACTTTATAATAGATAGTTCTCCCCTGCTGTTGTTTCCTGCTGCAATTTCATGTTAGCATCCATTGTAGAGCATCCCGATCTCCCTACAGTTGTTGGCTCTTTTCTATGATGTAGAATTCTTTTGTTGTTGTTGTTAGTAACATAAAGTTGTTGGAAATACGATAGGACAACTGAAGACGTTCCAACTTTCCACTCATATTGATACTCTCACCAGGTTTCTGCAATGATCTTTGGTCAGGTTTAATTTATCATAGAAATAATTCACAAGAGTGAGTTTCCAAATGTATTTCATCTCCGTAGGTATACTAAGGCTGCAAAACACATCACATGGACTATTGCTGTCAAACTCCACATCCTTTCCCCTCTCCTAGATTTCCCCTTGGTCCATTCTCAAAGAGCTACCATATTTTTCATTCTAAATTCCAGCCCTGATGTATGGATCATCCTAGCTTCAAGTTTTTCCGTCACCCGTTGTTCACTGAAAGAAGTGTAAAGTTACTTTCATGCCTATCCATGTTTTGGCCTACACCTTTCTTTCTGGTCTTGTCACTGGTTAATTTTGTTTTTTATTTCTTTATTTTTACAGACATGGTTTTGCTCTGTTGCTCAGGCTGGAGTGCAGCAGTGTAAACATAGCTCACTGCAGCCTCCAATTCCTGGGCTCAAGTGATCCTGCCAACTCAGCCTCTGTAGTTGCTGGGATTACAGGCGTGAGCCACACACATGCCTAATTTTTAAATGCATACTTATGTTCCAAACTGGATTCTTTGCTCTTTCTTTAATTCATCCCTTTTATTCATTCCTCCCTACTTATTTGTATATATTTCTCCTTTCCCAATCAGTGCTGTTTGCTTATGTGCTTAGCCACTACCTTCTTATTCATCTTTCAAAGCACCCACCTGGCTTTTAGCTCTCCATTCTTTGAACTTCACTAACTTCACTAACACTGTGTCTATTCCTCTCACACACAAATTTACACTGCAAGCTTCTATGCCTATGTCATATTCCCCCAGTACAATGTGAGTTCTTAAGAGCAGAGATTATTTTTAACTCATGACTCCACACCTAGCATAGTATCTTATACTCACTTAGTGTTCTTCATTGCCAGGTACAACCATCTTCTCTCACCTGAAGCAACTGGTATCCACCAAAACTAAGAGGCAACATATTATGTCACATAAGAACTTGGGCTTTGAGGTCAGATAATTTTGGGTTTGAATACCAATGTTGCGACTGACTCACTATGTAATTTTCACCAAACTATTTAATAGCTCTGAGTTTTATTTCCACCATTTGTCATGACAATAATAATTAGATTTATTTAATCAGTGATTACTGTGGATTCTATTACTTAACCTATATAAAGCACTTAGTACAGTGTCTAGCACATAGTGAACATTCAATAAATGTAACTTACACCATATATACATATGGTGTATGTATGTATTCTGTGTATTTACATAAATGGGAACCTGCTTGCAAGACTTATAAATGCTACGGTTACACAAATGCTAAAGTTATAAAGTTTGGTGATCTGCCTCAGTTCTTTAATGCACACATTATATGTACCATGAGGGATATTATCGAGGACCTCTTTGGCCATTTGCCTTTTTGTGTAGAAGAAATTTCTATAAGGAAGTGTCTTAAGTACTCTGATACAAGGAGTAAGAACTGTGACACCTCTAACTCCTACTCTCAACTTTCTTCCCCCATTGACAGTAGGTGATTCAGAAGAAGTATCTGATTAAGGCATGTTGAGACTTAAGGCAAAATGAATGTTCAGTTACACAGCTGTGCTGACTCTTTGAGGCAGTGATGCTTATTTAGGCTGATGCCACTGAAGGCAACACTGGGGTAATTTTACCAGCAGACCATGTCTTCTTGATCCCTTAAAGAGATGATAGTAGAGAATGTTTGTGGGAGATATTAGATTTTTTTTTAAATAGACTTTTTTGATCCTTGAAGGTGTCTAACATATGCATTTTGTTAAATTAAATTAAATTTGGCCTGAGGATGCCTCCGTACCTTGAGTTTCTACATAACAAATTACAACTTAACTTAGTATGTAAACAAATGGAAAGCCTAGCTTAGGTATATTTTCAGCCAATAACAGCCTGTCAACTGACAAGACTGTGTTCATGTATGGCCAAGGCTGAGCAGTAACTAATCAAGCTGTTTCTGTACCTCACTTCTGTTTCCTGTGTCTCACTTCTGTTTTCTGTCCATAAATGTTGCCTGCCCACTTGTGGGGTAGAGCTCTCTGAATGTCTACTGATTCTGAGTACTGCCCAATTCTCGAATGATTCATTGCTTAATTAAATTCTGTTAAATTTAATTTGTCTGAAGCTTTTAACAACTTCTAAAAGGAAATAATTGCAAGAAAAACAACTATAGCAACCTTTTAAAATTTACACTTAATCACTGATCATGTGCACTAGGTGCCACTTACCTTTGCTCCATCTAAAGTGATTATCTCTTGCCCAATTGTGTGTGCTGTGAGAATTCAGTGGGTGTCCTCCACCAATGCAAGTGCTCTTCTTTTCTTTTTTCCCTTGCATCACTTCTGAGTGTTTGATACTGCTGTTAGTATGTAGTATAGAAACATATTGGGCTTCTGTTGGTATTTTTTCTATTGCAACAACTATTAAAAAGACTGTTGTTAGCCTAAAGGGGTGTTTTACAACATGTCAAATACACATTTTTTCTTTTAATTTTCTAATAAAAATGTCTGTTTGAGTTAGCTCTTCTAAGGCAATATAATTTACACCTGTACAAAACATATTTTGCTCTAAATGAGGTAAATAAACTATTTTTGCCATATGTCTCACTTTCTCTGCTGGTTTAATAGTTTTTAGAATAAGCTGTTTGTAGTATTTCTCCCTTGTTTTAGTTTCACTTAACACAATAATTCAAAAAAAAAAAAAAAGCGTTTACTGAGGGCTTAGTTTGTGCTAAGTCCTGAGGAAATAAACTGGAAATATAATCATGTAAAAGAGAAAAGAAAAAAATAATAAAGGCCTTGACTTCTAGTTGCTCATAGTTTGGTAAGAAAGAGTATTTTTTCAACCACCAATTATAAAAGATGAAACAAAATGGGTGCTAAATGGTAGAATAAGTAATATGCTGTGTCCATGCAAAAGAAGTGATTACATTTGACTGGGAGTGGAGATCAGGAAAGAATTCTTGTTGGTAAAGGCACTGGAGCTGGAATTCAAATATTAGAATGGTGAAGATGGGGTTAAGAACAACGACATAAGATTTTGCAAAATTAAGAAAATAAATAAAGCACAGTACCTCAAGCAACAGTAATAGTTATTATTTTCCAAGCTCACAAAAGTAGTTAGTGGCAGAGTTAGAAACCAGATCTCCTGGTTTATGTGAGAATTTCTTTTGTATATTTTTCTCTTTTTAAGCAAAGTATGTCCTAATCAACAGAGGTGCTTCAATATCTGCAGGAAAAGTCTTAAATTGAAATAGATCAATTTTTGATTCAGTTGCATCATCCTTAGAATTTTTATTTTGGGGAACAAGTATGAGAGCAAAACATTAACAATCAAAAACTATTCTTCATCTTCAGGTATCGAAAGGTTATTTGGATGCAAAATTCAGACTACTACAAAATATTCTTTGGGGAATATTAAAACACACACACAATTTGTACCCTTATGTAGGGACAGAAAGGGGAGGGGATGATCCCTTTCCTCCTCATCGTAAGTGCCTTGGCCAACACCCCAATAACAAAAGACAGTTTAACAAGAGAAAAGCATAACAGATTTATTTGATTATAGTTTTATGTTACATGGTAACCTTCAGAATGAAGATTCAAAGATACAGGGAAAAATATCCATTTCTATGCTTAGATTCAGTGAAGAATGGGCAGCTATGTAGAACTTTGATTGGGCAAAAAGGGTATAATTTAATGTTAATAGATCGAGTAGAGAAATCTAGCAAGGCCTATCTGTTCAAATTCTTCTTGTCCTGTCTATGCTATTTTCCTTCCTTTTAGGTATGGAGCTGACTGTCTCTGGAATGGGGTGCTATGACCCATAATCAAACAAGGTAGTATAGCGAATTTCTTTACGGCCAGTTCTTATTGGAATTAAAATTCAAGTATTAGTTCCTACTGGCTGTAAAGAAAAGCAGGAGAAAGTTACAGTAAAATTAAACTGCTTAAAGAAAAGCAGGAAAAAGAGTAATATTTTTAGGTTTAATGACTAGCTTTGGGGAAGATGTTTGGGTTATTTTGGCCCCCTTTGGAGAAGAGGGATTATAGTTTCTATGGGTAGTCTAGCCTCAGGGAGAATGAGGCTGCCAGACGGGAGGGCAGGAGAACACCAGAGAGAGACATTGCTTCTGAGACTGCATCTGGAGGCTTTCCGTGTATGCTATCCTTTTCTGAGTCCCAATGCTTACAATTTTTTGATTCTGAGCTTTAATCATGGAAGAGCATAAAAAGTTTTAGAGATAAAGAGGCAGATGGACTCTCAAGTGGCTTGTTTACTTGGTTTGTTTTTTAAATTAATCCTTAGAAGAAATTTTGAAGCAGATAAGGAAATACCCACATTAATTTTTACTGTGATTATAATTTCAGGGCACACGTACTTTTAGTAATTAACAGATAAAGTATACATTCTGAGCATTAGCAAGTTTGCCAGTCATTGTATATCATTGTCTCGTAACTCACACACTGTGACCCAGCTGTAATAGCAAATTTCCTCTAAGGAGTGCACTTATAGTGTCTGCATCTGAATTTCACTCCTTGCCTT
Source organism: Homo sapiens (assembly GCF_000001405.40). Lineage (NCBI taxonomy): Eukaryota > Metazoa > Chordata > Mammalia > Primates > Hominidae > Homo > Homo sapiens. The sequence goes on from NC_000023.11 coordinate 92,227,187, forward strand.
TCCCTGAGCTTCCTTCAACCTCTTTTATTTCATTGCCAAATGTAACAACTGATCTCCACATTGATCCTATAAAATATACTAGTTTTAACTCCCTTTTTCTGTTTTCTATTTTTTTTTCCTGGCATTGCTTAGTGTTTCAAGATCTATAAACTTAACGCAAATTTCAGTACGTTCTAGTCATTAATATCCACCCAAATTTCTTTTCATTTTAGAAATATATTTTCTGAGATAGATGTGACAATGTTCCTGGTTATGCCTAATAATCCTAAAGCTGTTGGGTTTCCTGGCAAATATTATTCTATTTTCTTAAAGTTTTCAACTAAGAAATTTGTGCCTTTTGTTCCTGCAAATAAAATCTCCTTGTAATTAGTATGTTTTATCTCCCAAACTTAAATAACATTGCTGCAGCCCTTTACAAAATGTTATCTACAATTCAATTTGTTATATTTCTGTGTTTCTATTTTCCTTAGGGACAGAAACAGATTTGTAAGTTTTTGTGGGTTTTAACGAGTAAAACCATTAGAGTTTCATGTTTGTTTTTATAATTTCATAGATACTATAATGTAGTCACTATAAAGATATACTAGGAGCCTATTGAAAAATTCTGCAAACCATTAAAATTTAGAAAACTAAACAATCATATCCATTTAATAATGAACATGAGGAACATTGCTCTATCAAAAAATGCAAAATAGTTGTATATATTTTATGAAAAAGACTATATCTTTGAAAGTGAAACATGTATGCATTAAGTAGTGATAATAAGACAATTTTAAGATTAACAATAAAATGAAATAGAAATTCATGGAAAACAGACAGCAAAAACTGTGTTATACCTGTTACTGAAAGATCATCAATTCCTTCAAGTTTCTATTTTTGTGTTCACAGTGTTTAAGGGAAGGTAGTCTTACCAACAATGCAGCCAAAACATGTTGATCTGCATTTTTGTTTTTGGATGTCTACTAGTTAGTTGGACATTGAAACTTGTGTTAAAACACCTAACAGATTGTATTCTATTACGCTGGACTACTCAAGCAATAAATGTATACTGATTAATTGAATGACTTAGTGATCTGAAAGAAGATAGTGATGTTTTCCATGTTCTCTGACATATACTTACACAGTAATTTAAGTCCTGACAAGACAGAGAAAATGAGTGCCTAAGTCTTGGAGGTTAAGACCACAGTGTATCCCTAAGGTCTGCCCATGTCATGACATCTACATTCAAATTTTTCAGTAAGAATTCTACATTTGTTTCCTCTCCTTTGAATTCAGCTTCTCTTTTGGGGAGGCAGTAGAACATACTTGGTGCTTTAAACGTATGGGCTTTGGAAACAGTCAAACCCGGGTTTCAATCTTAGTTTAGTCCTTACTAACTATACAACAATGGGCAAACTAGTTAATTGCTTTAAGTCTCACAGTTTTCTCATTGGTAAAATGTAGATGATACTACCATACCTGATGCATAGGGCTTTTGGAAAGACTAAGTTCAATAATGCATGTGAAGTAATTAAGCCAATGCTGACAGCCAAAGCTGTAAAAGGGCAGCTGATATTATTACTTGAAAAAAAATTTTTGATGTGAAAGAAAGGACATTATCTAGGCCACTTGCACTATTTATCTTCAAACAGTAGCAAAACCCTTTTTCTCCCACTGAAAAGTGGTGATTAACTTTTTCACTATGTGAGACCTTGTCTTTCCTTATAGACATCACACCAAAAACAATTAATCATATTTTCAAGTGTGCATTGTATAGGCTAAGAGATCCAAAGATACTCAAAGAGTATTTCTTTCCTCCAACAAACCTATGTCTTAGATTGGGAGAAAAGATTCACATTAAAAATCGCAAATCTCCTTTCAATTAAGTACTAAATTATGCACTACAGACTTTAGGTACCCTAAGAGTTTAAGACCAGTGAGAATGATGTGGTCTACAGTACTCAGTAAACACTTTGGAAAAGGTGAGATTTGAACTGGACATTTAGAAATTGGTCTGACTTGGATGGGAGAAAATAGGGAGAATATTCTTTTGGGCTGCTAAGTGGGGAAATTGTCAACAGCATGAGTGAAGGCATAGCAGGGAAAACAAAGATGGCATTTAAGGGGGTAGGAGTATCAATCAAATTATAAGGACAACATGCAGTAGTCATGAGGTCTCCCCTCATTTTGCCAAGGTCTCATCTTTCTCCTCAGACAATTTATGAAGATGATTGAGTGGTGGGATTGCTTGACACAGAAGAGTTTAAATTTGTTTTCATCCCTGCTAAGTGATTCTGAAATATAAATGCCAACGCCTAGAGAGTTGAGTTTTCAACTTACTATGTGATTCCATAAGGGAACCATTAATAATGCCAGAATGCATTAACAGCCTAGAGAGAAGAAAAACTCTAGACTTAAAACTTTCATGACAGCACCTGAAATAAATCAGCTAATATCAAAAGAGTGGCAGAGGTGACATGAGTTTTTTCTGGGAATAATTATAACTTTTCCAATTTTATATTGTCATTAGGCATTCAGGCCATTGACAAGTCTAAAATAAGATTTTAATATTTATTCTGGATAAAATGAAATCAAAACACTGAAGGAATATTGAAAGTAAATTTATTTACTTCTGGAAACATGACCAAACTTACCAAGCAGCCTAGTTCCTGATATTGTCAGTGAGAGAAATTATGTAATTTTGGCTTATGATCTCCCTTTTTTGGAAAATAGTTTTCTGGCCACCCTAAGAAAAGGCCCCTAATAAAACCAAATGCCTAACTAGATATGGTTCAGAATACCTTATAAAATGCATTAAAATAATTTTCAAGTTTAGAAACCCGGAAATGTGGATGACTTTTTATTGCTTTGAACTAATGTACTGTGGCTTACAGTGGGTAATTAAAATCAAGGGAGGGCAATCACTAGAAATTTGGATAATATTAGAGTGAGATAATATTCCATCTTTGTATGGCAAAAATCTTTGTCATATCCTGAAGTACATTTGTACTAAAAATACTTGAAAACTTTTTTTAGTATAAGGAAATTTGTTTTAGAAAAATGTCAACATGCAGGAAATATGAGCTATTTTCCTCATATAATTTGTATAACACATGAAGTAAAAAAAAAGTTTTAAGTCAGTTTGAAAATGTATACTTACAGTGTCCTCTGGAACTCAGATTGTTTTCTCATTGTTTTATTTTTGTTTTGTATGTCTCGATTTTGCCCTAAAGAATGTCTATGAATATATATATAATATATAAATATATATTATATATTTATATATAATTTATAAAATATATATTATATATAATATATATAAAATACATATATAATATCTATAATATATAATATATATAAAATACATATATAATATCTATAATATATAATATATAAAATACATATATAATATATATAATATATATAAAATATATATATAATATATACATATATATTCCTGCTGAAAGGCAATTGCCTTTCTCTACACAGAAGTCATCCCGGTTTGGTGAATATGGATGTTATTAGAGTGACCAATGGAGCTGGTATCCTGGGAATTCCTTTTACTTTTCAGATGAAAAGGGATGAAAAGACCACGGAAAGAGGTTGCTAAACAACTTGCCAGTGCTGCTGATAAATGTTCTGCTACTGTCAGCAAATATTCCAGAGAATCCATTTGCTGAAGGGAATTTCCAAATTGATTCTCCATTGGTAGCCATACTACAGGAGAAAACGGCAGTGCAGACAGGACTGGAAGAACATTAGTCACTGTTTCAGGGCCTTCTAATTTTCAATCTGCCACAGCCATAGAATAGAGTCTGGAGGTACAGAATGTGGCAATAGGGAATTAGCAGTAAAATCACTGCAATTCTTCACCAACATCTGCGAGTATGGAGAGCAAAGACAGCAGCTTGAGGCAGTTTTCAGTATTTAGCTCACTTTTTAGTAGAGAATGTGTCTATGTATCATAGATAACTTCACCCAAATTAGAAACAGAAACGGACTCTAAATGCTTTTTTATTTTGTCTGTCCTGGTAGATGGGAATATTTTTTTGGTTTGTTTTCCAAAATGTGCCCATTTTGAGGTATCAGAAGAGAATTAGAAATAAGCTCTTTTTTTATTGTTTGCTAATTTAAAAAGTAAGCTAGTGAGGAAAAACTTCAGCCATTTAAAATTTTGTAATTTTTATATGCAAGATTTTGTGTGCTACATACAGCTGAGGATTTAAGTGGAAAATTGCCAGATCATTTGAAAGAAAAGCCATCTCTGAAAATTTTCATTTTTTCTATTACTATAAACAATTATAACAATGGCATTAAAAATGTCAGTAGGAGGCTAAGTGGATGAGCTGGGGAAATTCCATTCTGATATAAGCATGCTAGCAAAGGAAACAAAGTACTAGGAAAATCGTTGTTTGAATTAGACCTACAGGGCCTTTAATATGTTTGTACTTGCCCTTTGCAGCTGAGTAGAGATGCAATGGTATACGGGAACAGTTAAGTATGTGGTTTCAATTCTCTGGTCATTAGCAATTAGTTGAATGAGACTCTCCCAAGTATGAAAAGGATCTTCTGGTGTATGAACAGGTATATAAAATGGGAGATTACAAGGCATATGCCAATTTTAAGTTCTTATGGACATTGGCTAGTAGGTACGCTACTCCCCAAGAATGACACTTGGCCATGAAATATCTCAGTCCGTAGTAGCGCTCATGGGATTACCATGGACAGCCTCTTGAGTCCATCTTTGGGCTGGAAAGAACAGAGAAGGCTCACTTCATTCCAATGTGACTATGTAGAGTAATTTCCATCTTAGGCCACACTTGGAGATTTGCGGAACTATTCGGAGGGAAGGGCCCATATACTGCTCCAAATGTTATATCAGTTTTGTGACGAAAGAGAGATAAATTCATTTGATATTCATTTATTCATCGATCTTGAGATATATTGCAGCCATTATTATTGCGTTAATGAGGTGTTGAGGAATTATTTGATAAAAAGTTTCTCTGTTTTTTCATCAACAATGGCATAGAACAGATGTATGGTGGTGTATATTATAAAAGCCATGATCACTGTGTTCAGGTCTCCTCAAAATAATGGAATAGAAAGGTCAGTGGCAACAGAGGTGAGGGGAAGGCAAGGCATAAAACAAGGACCCTGTGCGGTCTAACAGTCAAGACTAGAGTATATTGTCATGTACTATAGTGAACCACTAGATGGTGCACTCTGCAACTTTGTTGATTTCGTATTTTCCCAAATCCTGAAAAATACCCTAAATGCCCTGTATATACTTAATGCTTAAATGTTTTCTCTAAAGTTTGCTAGAAATATAAATATCTTATGAATGACCAACTAACAGGGCAGACATCTCTACTCATCAATTAACATAGTTGTGTGGTCTCATGGGGCTTTGCACGTGTGCTTGCCTACATGTATTCACTTATTTTTTCAGATCCTATAGACATAGACAATAAATCTAAAGATAAAAATATAATTATTTAGATTTTCTCAGCTAGGCTAGTCCTGACCTTCAGATATGCCCTAAATATAATTTTTTTAAATTATTATTATTGAGACGGAGTCTCGTTTTGTCGCCCAGGCTGGAGTGCAGTGGTGCGATCTTGGCTCACTGTAAGCTCCGCCTTCTGCTTCACGCCATTCTCCCGCCTCAGCATCGCGAGTAGCTGGGACTATAGGCGCCCGCCACCACGCCCGGCTAATTTTTTGTATTTTTAGTAGAGATGGGGTTTCACCATGTTAGCCAGGATGGTCTCCATCTCCCGACCTCCTGATCCGCCCACCGCGGCCTCCCAAAGTGCTGGGATTACAGGCGTGAGCCACCGCGCCCGGCCTGCCCTAAATATAATTAAATAGTAAAATCTGACTCTACCCCAGCTCCTCACCTGTCCTTATCCATTGCTTCTTTTGATTTTCTGCATCCTAAACCCTACCTAATGCCTCCTAGAGCCTCAGTCGATTGTACTCTTAGGTAATAATTCTTATTGTGTATTGCTTCCTTATATTGGTAATATTACAGCATTGTAATAACGTTTTATCTCACTGATTATGTTTTTTTTATCCTATTGTCATACTTAGTACCTGGAAACACATAGTCCTTTCCCATTTTTTTAATGATACAGAAAACATTACATAACACTCTACATAATATTTAACATGCAACTCTTCAGAAACTTCAGGAACAATATGACATAGGCCTAAGTAGTAACTTAAATGTTTCTCTTTATGCTTTAGTTGTCATGCAAGGTTAGAGCTAAGTCCTTTGCTTAACTATAAAATTAAAACATTCACGAGTTATAAGTGTATCTATGTTTCAGTTTTTGATGGTTTTGTTTTTCTATTTTTACTCACTTTTAGCCTATTTTATACTGTGATTTATTGTGTAAGGTTAATTGAAATCATTCTTGGAACTAAAGTGGACATGCATTGTGTGTGTACTTTAGTTCACAGAAAAAACAATTATTTTCTTTATAGAAATATTTACCTGGAGCCAACATAGTGAAGAATGTATGTTAATTCTATGGATGTTTTTGAATTCAGAAAGTAGCTACACTAGCCACAGTAATTTTAAGTGTGCTTCAAACTTAACTAATAAAGGCCACAGTGTGTTATGGATACAAGAATAGTTGTGTTTCAATTAAACTTTTAATATTTTTTTCACAGCATACTTCATTTTTATTGTTGTATTCACTGATTTTAAAAAAGCAATTCTACCAAATGAAAGGAAACTTCAAGTTTATGACTATATGAAGAAACAGTGATTTCAATTTTTTCTGTCAATATTGGCATAGTTTTAGCAGCTTGACTTTCACAGAATAATGCACTGCTTCTAAACCTTGATGTTGAAGGATGTCATAAATGAGCCAAGACAATCCAGATAATTCAATAGTATTGTTATAATTAGTTTCTAAAATGGGAAAGCACTTACCACTTTTCTAGAAAATGATGTTCTTTTAAAAAAATACATCTTTTATTTTTAATCAATATAAGCTTGACAACACTGAATAGCTTAATCTTCATCTTTGCTTGTCTATAGCATGTCAATAGTTATAGAACTAAAAGTTATCTACAAGAAGACTCTCACTAGTCAGAGCATGCAGATAAAATGATAATTATAGTGATAGCTACAAGAGGGAGGTATGGGGCAACAGTTGCCAGGGTGGCAAATGAAGCAGCACTCACAATCATACCAGAAGACGTGAAGTGGGCAATATCCCTAGGCAAAATGATGCATTATTAAGGCATGGCTGTGTGTACTTAATGTACTTTTGAAACCAGACATATCAAATCTAACATATAAGATAGTTTTGTCATGCATTCTGGTAATGACATTCAACAAACCCATTGGGGTTTTTAATTTTAGACTCCGTTTTCCAAGGGAATTATGTGTGTGTATGTGTGTGTGTGTATATACATAATTTGCAGCACTTTATGAAAAAGCTCAGAGAATACAAAGAATATTACATAGTTTGATTTAGATGAAAGAACAAATAATATAAAGGGTTTTATACTCATACCTTAAAAGCATTTCTCTGTTTTTTTCTTTTTCCCATTGTGAGCATTTAGATTTGGAGACAATTGTCATTTTCTTATATTAATAAGAACCATGGAGGAAACAATGAGTTTTACACACATGTTCAGGAGGAATAATTTTTATTATTATTGAAACCATGTCTTTATTAAGATGCTGTGCATTAAAAGATAATAAAACATTTCTTCTCCCATGTGTTTTTTAATTGTAAAGGAAAAATTATCCTTTTTAAGTTATATGCTATTTCCAAAATGTGTTTCAATACACATTTTAGAAAAGAAACTTCAGAAGCAGGAAATTTTTCAAAAATTGAAAGTCCATATGATTACAATAAAAAAAGAAAAAGAGATACAAGATGAAGAAACTGCTGCTTCAGAAAGAAGCTGCAGAAGGATAGAAGTTATTAAGATAAAATTACATACGAATATGATAAAAAAGAAAGAGAAATAAAAGCACAAAATTTTTTTAAATATATTATAGTCCATGAATCTAGCATCTTACTGATAAAGATGATTCTTGGTTGTATTCTTAGATTTTAAAAAGTAGCCCTGAGATTCCCGGAGGCTTTGCATGATTGGGTTGCACTGAATTATAGCTGTCAGGTCTGGGTTATGATTTCATAGGCAATGTTAATTCTTACCAATTCTTTAAGAGTTTTGACAAATAAGGCCCCTTAATCTTAGTATAAATATTTTCTGATAAAGGTGGTGTAGTATAAATAATAATAGAAAACCAAACATATGTAAAATAAACTCGAAAGCCCACTCTCTCTTTTAACACAGGTGTTCCAAATTTGTTTTTTGTAGCTGATATGATATGTCACAATTTTCTGCAGATGGAATTTTAAAAATTATTATTACTGCAGAAAATGACAAAGTTGGTTTGCAGCTCTAGAGCTTTGATAAAGCAAACAGAGTAAGACTTCACCATTCAAAATTATCTTTATATTTTATTATTTCATAAGGGAATGAATAAAAGAGTAGAGTTAATTTTTTTGAAGAACCAATTTGGAAGCATATGCAATGGGATCATGTTGAGAAGAATCCAGCTTTGCACTTGCTTGAACTGCAAATCAAAACTAAATGATTATTGATCAAACAATAGCTTGCAATGCATCTCAGAGTGGACTGTCATCCTTCACGTACAGCCCGGGGTAGGATTTTGGCTTTCTTTATCTGAAAAACATGTTATCACGGTATTGAACTAATGTTTCCCTAATAAATACAGATAATATTGGATAAGATGGCCTAATCAACTACCACCACATTACCACAAACTGACATTTCCATATGCTAATATAATTGTAATAAAAATTATCTATTTTTCATATAACAAAATGCTAACAGTCTGTATTAAGATATTTCATTTCTCAACATTTTACCAAAGAAATCTGAATTTGCTTATCCAAATATATCTTAAGTAGATTTGATTACTGTGACTATTTTGAACATCGGAAGAACAAAGAATTAACGTACCATGGAGACTTAAGGCATGGTTAGCTGCCATCTGAAAACCATTCCAGATCCCCTACTGTAAGTCTTGAACAAATTGGACTAGTGAATGGGATTAGATACTCAGAGATAGGGAAGCAGATTTTTTTAATGAAAAATAATTTTGAAAATGAGCTATGTTTATTTGCATTGTGAGAAAACAAATAGGTAACACAAAACTAGATCTTAATTATTTTGTGTATTTTTCTTAATAATGGTTTTTAAATTTGTCAAAGTAGCACTTGTCTTAACCTTATAACCAATTCCTCTTATGACTCATTGACATACTTTCCTGTTTCTAAAATTTTACCTTACTGCCTTGATGCTCCACAAGAATTAGGTAATGATAGGGAAAATGTATAGAAGATAAAGAAGAAACACATGTTTTTACAAAAGGCTAAAAATCACTCCATAAAGAACTAGTAAGAATCAAGCCAGCAAAGAAGAGAAGCCTGGCAGGTATTGATAAAATCATACTGGTGATTGTGGCCATTCTTATGCATTATGTTACTATGTATAGAGTCTAGAAAAATATTTTCTGTTTATTTTGAAAATATGGGCATAAATCCTTTTATCTGGTTAATATGTTGGTACTGCTTAATAGGCCTACAAAGAGAAAATAAATTTTCATAAAATACTCTTAGAAATTGTCCACAATGTACAATGAGATGCCGACTTAGACAACTTGATGCTCACTGAGACTATCAATGAGGGAATCAATTTATTTTTTCTTCTCTAATGAAGACAATTTGTCTGGTGAAAGCTTTTGCCAAGTAAATCAAAATTGTAAATCCAACTTAGAAACTGTGATTTTCAATTCTTTAAATTGTTGAAGAAAAAAAGACACCTGCCATGATTTATCTGACAGATTGGAGTCTGTGCAGGAGAATTCTTCATTTTTGTCATTCTAGTATACAGCTAAACTTGATCTTTTATAGGAGGAGAAATTTGTGGTTTTTTTAAAGTATATTTTAAAAATTTATTAATATAGCAAAATATCCTTTACTATTTATTTTAAATTTATAATCAGATTTAGATTACAGAAAATGAAATCCATAAAGATCAATAATTTTATCAATGGCTTTTATTTTGTCAGTATAGCAGGCTTTGGAATCAGATGAGTTTGAGTTGAAATTTCATATCTGCTAATTTTACCTCTGTTACTGTGAGCAATTTATCCTTTTTTGGCATTTAATCACTTAAATTCAGTATGTTTCATTTAACTCATCTGTAAAATGGGACAGTAACATTTCCAAATACAGAAGTGTATTTGGAGAATTTAATAAGATAATGCATGTAAGGCTTTAGCATAATGCCTGGCACATAGTAAACTCAATAAAAGATAGTTCTCATTGTTTATAGTAAATTTTCTTTCTATTATTGTTATAGTCCAATTGTCAGTACAGGGATATAATTTCAAAAGAAGTCATAAATTCCCTTTAGGAGATTATCAATGTTCACTAAGCACCTCTAACAAGTACCCCCTTATCTCTCCTTAACCTCTTAAAGCTCCACAGCAGTAACTTCAATCTTCAGTTCTAGTTTTGTTGTGGTTGTTTCCCTTGGTTTCTGCACCCATATTTAATCACAGATGATGAAAGAAGTCCATCATTTATAAAACCACTTATGCCAAAGCATGAATAATACAAGTCAGCAACTTGTCAGGGCAGAATAACTCAATGGACAATTGTTTACAGCCTCAGGGCAGTCAGGAATTTACCTACTAATGGCATTAATCTGTGATAGAGTGCTCTAACTACACATTTTTGTTTCTTATCAGTCATGAACACAGCAAGCTTATCTCAATATTTTATCCATAGAAAACTCATTGGCTTTTAAAAGTGCCTTTTCTACAAGATAAATTTTCCGCATCTTTGAAATAAAGCATAGTTTAGCCACAATTTTATGTGTCTGAGAGTCACAAGATGCTTTCAAAATTTTTAGAGATGTTTGAAAACTAAAAAAACTTTAAAATGCATCTTGTGACTTTGAAAACATTGGTTATTTGTGTTGCTTGGGGATTATAAGACTAAAATGAAGGTCAGTAATTATAATGTTTGTGTGTACATGTGTTGTATATGTGTGTACTGTGAATAGTTTACATAGACATCTAATTTTCTAGGATCATATTTATATAATGTCATTTGCAGACAGCATCATATTCAATAGGCAGAATGGCATTATGCATGATGTTAAATGGAATTCAGACAGATGTGCATTAGTCCTATTTTTGCCATTTAGAAGGTGACTAATTTGGGTGCATTACATGTTCTTCATCTATGTAGTGGGAGTTTAAGGAAAAAAACAACTACTTTGGGGGGTTGTTACAAAGGTTAAATGAGATAATATAGGTAACACAAGGTCTCATATTAATGGCTGACTCTTGTAAATTCTCATAAATTCTAGATGTTGCTGCTGCTGCTGTTTATAATTATTGTTGCTGTTGTCTGTGCATACAACTAGGTAATATATGGCTGTCTAGACTGGCAAAATAATTGTATATAATTCATACAATTAAATAAATATTGCCTATAAAATACATGTAAAGTAACAATGCCTAAAAATAATAAGTGCTCAATAAACTATATCTTAATTATTATGAATACTGCACATTTATTACACACATACACTCTTCAGTAGCTACTGGTAGAGACTTACTATCCAATATGTGGCTGTTGAATCACATAGGCTTACAACAAAGCATTTCACTCATTATTCTAGAAAAAGAGTCAATTTATTTTTCATGTTTTTTTTTCCATCCACAGATTGATATGTTACCTTTCTTCATGTCTTTGAAATATGTTTTACCTATCTTACTTGTAGTCATTTCACTTCATCTTGCCAGATATTATCAGCCTTTATTTTCATCCATTGCTCATTCTTCTTAAATTTATTTTGAATGTATGTCTCGTATATTAGAAATGGAATAAAAGTTTGTGAAATGAGTGAATCACTCCTTAAATATTGACTCAAGAAGCAAGAAGATGAAGTCTGTATGTTGTGATATTGTGTTTAATATGTAATTTGTTACCATAAATATATTCCATTTATCACTGATATTTGGCTATTCATTTTTCTTATTTAGTTAATTTATATATAGATTGCTGTTTTGGAGTCCACCAGGCGTAGACTTAAAACTAATATAGATGATCAGTCCTATTAAGATGCCAAATTTAAAAACCATTCTGCAGAGAAATAAACTGGTTTCAAATGGGAATCACACATGCTTTGTAATATTCATGGTAAATTTCATTTCTATAAATTTTAATATACTTAACCATGAAAATTAACTTGAGTACTGATGCAGAGGAACTGTAAATGAAATGATAACTTTTGTCCAGAAGACTTTTAAAAAGATCTTTATTGAATCATGTAATTCTGCATTACTGACAATACATATTACTCTCTCGCCAGACAACTAAAGAGATCGATGTGTCAGACATTAGTTCATACATTAAGGGAACCAACTGTCTGATTGAAAATTTTGATGTAACTCAGAGTACTTTATTTCTACTTCATAATGCAGTGTATACCATAGTTATTTATTATCCTCCATTACACATTTCTGCAACTTCTGGCACATACTCAGATGAATTATGCCTAAGATTGGGATGTAGGATCCTTTATTTTTCCAGAGACCAATGCTTATTACAGCTGTGAAGATTAACAAGCCACTTCTATATTGCTCACCCTTTTAGAATTTTTAATTTTTATCTCAACATTTAATTAGGAGAATGTTCAAACATACAACTAATTTGAAATAATTTTACAGTGAATAATAGTATACAGACTTATTTGTTTCTAATGCTAGTTAACACATAGTGACTTAAGAAGAACACACATATTTATCATCTCATAGGTTTTATAGGTTGGAAGTCCAAGCACAGCATAACTGGATTCTTTGTTCAGGGTTTCATGGGGCTGAAATCAAGGCATTAAGGAGGACTGTGGTCCTCTGGGATCAGAATCCTTTCACAAATGCACTAGTTGTTTTCAAATTTTATTTTCTTGATGTTGGAGGACAGTGGTCTCCATTTATATGCTAGCTACAGTCTGGGAACAATTCTCTGTGTCTAGAAGCCACCTGCAGTTCCTTGATGCACGGCTTTCAACATAGGCAGCACACGACATGGATACTTGTTTTCTTCTAGAACACATGCTCTGCATCTCTCTGAGTTCCTTCTCTTTGATCAGCTGGAGAAATCTCTCTGCTTTTAAAGGACTTGCCTGATTAGGAGACCCCGCCAAGTTAATCGGCCTTTATGTCATATAATGCCACATTATCACAAGGGTAATGTCTCATCATATTTATAGGTTCTACTCACAAAGTACAGGGGGTTATACAAGAATGGGGATCACTGGGTGGAGCATCTTAGAATTCTGCCTGAAACAACACACTATCTATATTCTGTCATTAACATTCTTCACAGCTTCTTTGAAATATAATTAGACATATGATAAAATTTATCTATTACATTTTAAATGTCAAAGCTTGTATTTTAAAATAAATTTTTACATTGTTAATAATTATTTGGTCAACTTTCCCAATCATAATATTGGGATTATACTCAAATATATGGCTGTGCTAAGGGAAAATTTCACAATTCTGTTTTCAGAAGTTGTAGTAGAATAAACTACTTTTTTTTTTTTAGCAGTTTACTTTTCTCGATCACTTAAAGTTTGCCTGATAAGTATTAGAACTCTGTCTCTATGTCTGACAATCACAGTTTAATGCTGGCCTGGGTTCTTTTTTATGAATCTCAGCAAAAATTTTGAAATTGTAAATGACAATATAGTTTGTGTATACATTTTTAATTCAGGTTACACTGCCTCAGAAGAATGTTGCTTAGTATATATTCATTTGATGATGCACAGGGGCTGATATTAAAATAGTCATGATAAAGTTGCACTGATTTTAATGGTATGCATTTAAATATAAATGAGAATAGTGGTCCAAGTAAATTCCATCATATTTTGAGCAGAGTTATTATAAATTACGGTCAACTTGCAAGAAGTAATAAAGACCCGCTGGCTTTGATGTTTATTGAATGCATATATAGGTGACTATAGTTCTTTTAAAAATGTGAAGATATACATCATATAAAGTTCTTTTCTTAAAGTGCTAAATAAAATTAGAAAGACTGAATGAATGCATCAACAAAGAAATGGTGTGCAACGACTTATGAAAAACAATATATTCTTTTCAATATATCTACATCTTGTCACTAATGACTCACATGAAAGGTATGCTGCAATGAAGTCCAAATAAAATAGTTCTCCTGATGAGACCTTTCCAGTTTCTTGGTTAGATATTATTTTATTTTCCACTTTTAAAAATTGTCCCTTGTCATTTCTTTAAAGCCCCGAGCATGAAAAACAAAATCTAATTACTAAGAGCTAATCATTTGTTAAAACTGTAAAAAGTGGACATTCCTCTCAGTGAATGTCTGTCACAGCAGAAACAATGATTACAGCCAATATATTATGCCTCAGACATGACAACTTGTTGGCTTCTCAAAATTCTGCTTTTCCTTGGTTAGTTTCTTTTGAACTCAAAATAGTTTACATTGCAATTTTTATTGAACCAATTCTAGATTGGCATGATGTTTTAAGGATAAAACAAAGAGATCTCCTGGTTTTCTTACCTGTTGTCTAAGATCTTGCAAAAGTATAGTGTAATATCACATGTACACTCATTTGTATATATGTGTGTATTCAGCTCTGTGCAATTTTATCACATGTGTATGTTCATGTATCCACCACCAGAGTCAAGATACTGAACATACTCGGGAGGCTGAGGCAGGAGAATCGTTTGAACCCGGGAGGCAGAAGCTGCAGTGAGCTGAGATCATGCCACTGCACTCCAGCCTGGGCAACAGAGTGAAACCTCCATCTCAAAAAAAAAAAAGATACTGAACAGTTCCATCACCAAAATGACCTCTCCTGTTGCCGTTTTATAACCATACTCATCTTTATCTCATTACCCTTCTTTATGCGTAACCTCTGACGACCACTAATCTGTTCTCAATTTTTATAATTTTGGGATTTTAAGAATGCATGTAAGCCAGGCATGTTGGTACACACCTGTAGTTCCAGCTATATGGCAGGCTGAGGTAGAAGGATTGCTTGAGCCCAGGAGTTTGAGGCCAGCCTGGGCAACATAGTGAAACCTCGTATGTAACATTTTGGGATCGGCTTTTTCACTTAGCATAATTCTCTGGAGGTTCATTCAAGTTGTTGTGTGCATCAGCTGTTCATTCCTTTTTATTACTGGGTAGTATTCCATGGTATGAATGTACCACAATTTGTCTACCTACTCACCTGCTGAAGGCCACCTAGGCTGTTTTGAATTTTTGGTTATTATGAATAAAGCTATGAACATTAGTGTACAATCTTTTGTGTAAATATGAGTTTTAATTTCTCTGAAATAAATGTCCAAAGGTGTAATTGCTAGGTCACATGTTTAGTTTTGAAACTGCCAAATTTTTTTCCAGAATGTCTATACCACTTTATTGCCATCAGCAATGTATGCTTGATTCATTTCTCTGCAACCTCTCCAGCATTTGGTGGTATTATTATTATTATTATTAAATTTAGCATTCTGATAGATGTATAATGATATCTCATTGTGGATTAAATTTGCATTTCCCTGATGGCTAACTCTGCTGAACATCTTTTCTTGTGCATGTTTGACATTCGGATTTACTCTTTGTTGAAATAGCAGTTGATAGTTTTGTCCGTGTTCTGACTGAACTGCTCTCTTTTTTTTACTATTGAATTTTTAAAGTTCATTAGTAGTGTAGATATTATTCCTTTTTTCAGATATGTGAATTGCAAATATTTTCTGCCAATCTTCTCACAGAATCTTGTAAATCATAAGATTTCATTTCTAATGAAATCTAATTAAGCAATTTCACCTTGTAAGCATTTCACTTTAGGTGTCAAGTACAAAAGCACTTTGCCTAACCTTAAATTCTGAAATTTTAAAAAATATTTTTGTAGACGTTTTATAATTTTACACCTTACATTTGAGTTAATTTTGAATTAATTTTTGAATTAAATTTTAAATTAATTTTTGTGTAAAGTATGAAGTTTAAATCAAGGTACATTATTTTATTTATAAATATCCAATTGCATGAGAAACACTTATAGAAAAGGATACCCTTCCTTCATTGAATCACTTTTGCGCCCTTTTCAAAAATCGATCAGACATTTGTGAGAATTTATTTCTGGGTGGTCTACTTTGTTCCAGTTATCTATGTTTCTATTCCCTTGTCAGTACCTCACTGTCTTGATTATTGTAGCTATTTAATAGGCCTTAATGTAAGGTAGAGTGATTCCTTCCATTTTATTCTTTTTCAGAATTGTTTTAATTATTCTAGGTCATGTGCCTTTCCATATAATTTTAGAATAGCTTATTTATACCTCCAAAATAACTAAAGATGCCTTAGTAGTGGGAAAAAAGGTCTTGATACCACCAACAGTAAGTTTGACCTTCATCTAAATTAAACCAGATTTTGTTACAGCATTTTTAATGGTATACTTTAATTTTGGCTTATGATATCAAGGGTTGTTCACGTAGCCCACTTTAAGTTTTTCTATCTCTCTGTAGATGACTAGTTATAAAATATTTTGATTTCTGCTATTCTTTGCTTGCAATAATTACTTCCTGTGGAGATGAATGTGAATAAAGGGTAGAAATTAAAATTCCTGTAATCACTTAATAATTTGGGTCTACAGTTCGATTGAGAGTTTAGACATATATCCAAAGAAATTATTCTGAATTATCTATTAATCACTGCATCCTTAGCGCTGACAAGGCCACTTTCTAACAATAGATCTAATCATTTCAAGATGAGCCACAATTAGAATGAATATGATAACGAGCTGATAATCTGGGCCAAGAGTCTGATCCCATGAGCCTAAGATAGAAACCTCTGTTTCACTATTGATTTAACATTAAGGGGCATGCATTAAGTCTTGTGGCTCTGGAGATTTATACATGTTTAAAGCCTTCAATGAACCTAGCTTTTTTACTTTTGGACCGTAATCACTAGCTGAATAAAATGTTTTATTTTTTAAAACATATTTTCTATGCTTTAGGCAAACTAGATCAGTATTATACAATTTTCTGTAATTTTCACAAGCTAATGATTCCCTTGGGACCCTAAAGCAAAAGTTTTCCCACTCACAGTCTTTTACTGTCATTCAAAGCACTTTTATACATATCAGCAATTAATTGATCTTCCTTAAGTAATTTTTAGTAGCTGACTTGGTCAGTGGATTGTAAGATTGTTTCTTTTTGAATCATAGTATTCTCAAGGTTTCACACAGTGCATAATTAAAATAATGATCGTCATCAAAATAATAACCAGAATTTGTTAAGTGCTTACTACAGGACTGTGTGTTAGTGCTTTACTGTGTTAACTCAATTAGCCCTCACAGCCACCGTTTCTTATACTCACTATTGTCATTGGTGTTTTACAGATTAATAGACTTAAGAACAAAGTAGTTGGAGTAATTAAGTAACTTTCCCACGGTCATAGAGTTAAGTGGTAGAATTGGGTTTTGAGAGAGGCAGTCTGCTCCCAGAGCCTGCGATCTAAAGTGCTATGCCTGTCACATAGTGGATGCTCAATAATATTTGTTGATTGAGGAAATTCCATAATTAGCGTTCCCAAAGAAATACAACTCTATCATTCTTCCAAAAGTACCAATGATAAGCAATTAATAGTAAAAATAAAAATGTCCTGAATACAGAGCTCTGGTGCGAATAAACTCAGCCAGAAAGATCAGTGGAACCATCCAGTGTTTTATGTTGAGTTGGAAACTGAAAATAAGAGCTGCACAATATGATAAACTGGGAAAAAAGGAGATCTATATGATAGATTCACAAAGAGTACATATGTACAAGTTTAAAATATTTTAGATACTTTAAGAGCTAAATACTGGGAAGACGCCTGAGGCGGATGAGCCTCTAGGGGAATGAAATACCTTTTTAAATAAAGCTCAGACCCTATCTTATGCAGTTTTAATGTAAGCCTTTGATAATTCAAGACTTCGTGGATCACTCAGGAGGACTGCTTTTATTTCTGTATTATGGAAATCTGGCAGCATGATAGATATTGGAATTGAGCTGTGGTAAATATTAAGTTGCCCCTGAAGTAATGCTTATTGTATATCTCTGCTAAAGCTGTAACTAAATATTTATAAATTATTCTGAGAGACAAAATTATACAATGATACCTCTATTAATGAAGAAAAAGTTGCCAGACTATTTTGACATCACTATACTCTTGTCTCTGTTCCCTTAAGGAGACTCTAATCTCTGTGAGGACAAAGATGAGTATGTCTATTCTGGCAATCTCTGTATACTTAAAAGCTAGCCTGGTGAATGAATAAATGAATGAGCAACTAGCCTGGTGAATGAATGAGTGGGTTAGAAATGGTGTAGGAGACAAAAATTTATCCTAAGCTGTAGATTTCCCAGCTTTGACACATTGGGCAGTCCTTCCTACATGAAGGGAGGATAGATTGTTAAACCTTGGCCTTTTGTCCACACAAAGGAGGTTCTCCTTACATATGATGCACCTTGATTAACCATGGGGAAAGTGAGTAGAGACCTAAAATGGTTGAATTGAAATATTTGTCAATTGTACAATTTAATAGTTTAACTACATTATAAAAATAAATGGATTAATACTCAAACTGATTAAACGATCCATGTTAGGGGCTGGCCATGTTACTTGCATATTTAAAAATACCGAATATCCTAATAGATAGTATAAATCTAATTGTAAATTTTGGGGGGGAATTAACTTAGAGAACTTCATGAGGTAAATACAAATGTAATTGCATAACACTAAAATTAATTCAAATGCCTATACTGTAGAAACATATCGGAATGTTCTTCCTGTAGCATAGATGATCATTTAATTAGGAAACAAAGTACTACAGAGGTTACATAATATTCATCTACTCATAATTATTCATGCATATTTCCCATCGTTTTCATCATCTAACTCACTTATTCATAGGCGTTGGGGCATATTGGACATGAACTCCCAGTAGTATAATATTTATTTTGTACATATTTATATCTAAGTTATATAGCAACAAGTTGTGGTGAAAAGATTTTTTTTTTACTTTTTTGTTGTTGTTGTTGTTTTGAGACAGAGTCTCACTCTATCGCCCAGGCTGGAGTGCAGTGGCACAATCTCGGCCCGCTGCCACCTCCACCTCCCGGGTTCAAACGATTCTCCTGCCTCAGTATCCCGAGTAGCTGGGATTACAGTGCCCGGAACCATGCCTGGCTAATTTTTGTATTTTTAGTAGAGACGGGGTTTCGCCATGTTGGCCAGGTGGCCTTGAACTCCTGACCTCAGGTGATCCACCTGCCTCAGCCTCCCAAAGTGCTGGGATTATAGGTGTAAGCCACCGTGCCCGACCTGAAAAGAGTTTTACATACTTACTTACAGTCGATGTGATTTTGGCAAATAGTAGAAATCTCTGTTTCTCATTTTTAAAAATGTAAAAGTAGGATATTTACTATGATAAAATATTTAAAAATAAATTCAGATAATATATATTAAATACCTAACAGAATGTCTGGTTCAGAGAACACTTAAAAATAGTTGATGTCAAAAATAGTTGACGTATAAGAAGAAAGAAAGGAGGAATGGAGAGAAAGAGGATTTTACATGACCTTCAAAATGACTTCTAAAGATAGAAGGTGTATGTTGTTGTTATTCCAATTTTACAGATTAATAATTTGAGATTCAAGGACTTGCTCAGTGTCACACAGCTCTTTGATCCCTTAGAGTATTGCCAGCATTTTATTTATCTGCCCACGATAACACTTATCTAGTAATTATCTATTTCAGCTTCTAAACTATGAGTCGATTAAACTCTGAGTTCCTCTAGGACAGAAGCCTTATCGCATTCATTTTCTATGACTTAGAAAGCTTGCACATAGTACCAAATAGGCTATTGCAAAATGCTTTACTAATGAAGAGTAACTGTATTTACTGGGACTGTAACCTGTATTTGGCTATTTAAAGCCTGATACTTCTTCCATGTGTCATGCTTACTTATTCATCTCAACTCTCCAGAAACTTACATATTTGTGGTCAACAGTCTTTCCAGGCATTTAAAAAAAATAAATTAGTTAACTGATGGAACAACCCATTTTCTGACTAGCTTCCTCTTTTCCTGAGGTGGAAGCATGTCTCTTTGGTTACTTGTATTGTTTTCTAGGACTGCCATAACACATTGCCACGAAGTTTGGTGGCTTAAAACAATAGAAAATTATTCTCTCATAGTTCTGCAGGCTAGAAGTCTGAAATCAGGTGTTCTCAGAGCCGTGCTCCCTCTGAAAGCTCTAGGTAAGAATTCTTCCGTGTCTTTTCCAGCTTCTGGTTGCACTGGCTGTCCTTGGCTACTAATTGCACCACTCCAATCTCTGCCTCCATCTTCACATGGCCTTCTCTTCATGTGTTGTTGTGTGCCTTTTTCTTATAAGGACGTCAGTCGTTGGATCTAGGGATTCCTAAATCCAGGATGATTTTTATCTCTAGAGTCTTAGCTAATTACATCTGCAAAGACCTTATTTCCAAATAAGGCCACACTTTGAGTTGTGAGTGGACATGAGTTTTTGGAGGGCGTTATTTCACCCTCTGTAGCTATTGTGCATTATTTGAGTTGATAGTATTGAGACAGGTTTAGTGAAACCTGACAACAATTTAGTGAAACCTGACAAACATAAAAATAATGAATTCAACTGGAAAAAAATGAGTGGCTTTGTCTTGAACTTCACTTTTCTTAGGTGATTTGAAATAAAGTTGAAAATTTCACAGAAAATGCACTGAAAGTGGAAGTTCAGCATGGAATTGCTAGAGGAGTTTGAAACAGAGAGAATAGAGTAGCATCAACTAAGAACTCAGGGAAACTATATGATAATCCCAGAAGACAATATGTTTCCCACCTAGGAAATAAACAAGAGATGGAACCAGGTATCAGGCAATTATAATAACTTCTCAATCTGTTATAAGCTAGGAAATATTACCTTGAAACTAAATCCTTAGGGATAAATCAAAAGGAATGCAGCCACATTCTAGGTTCAAGTCAGTATCAGAAAGTTAGTTATATATATAACTAGTCTTTAATTAAAATTACTATAATAGCATTTTACTTTCACTTAAGGCCCATACTAATGAAATAGTAATGTTATTTTATTTTTTTCTTTAATATGGACAAATAATAAGCATACATACTTATGGGGTACATGTGATATTTTGATACATGCATGCAATGTGTAATGATCAAATTAGGGTAGTTAGGATATCCATCACCTCAAGCAGTTGTCATTTCTTTTTGTTGGGAACATTCCAAATCTTCTAGATATTTTGAAATGTTTAATAAATTATTATTAACTATAGTTACTCTACTGTGCTATCAAACATAGATTGAAGGAATAAGTTTTAGTAATTTTATTTTATTTTATTTATTTGAGACAGAGTCTCACTCTGTCGCCCAGGCTGGAGTCAGTGGTGCGATCTTGGCTCCGCCTCCTGGGTTCAAGCAATTCCGCCTCCTGGGTTCAAGCAATTCTCTGCCTCTGCCTCCTGAGTAGCTGGGATTGCAGGCGCCCATCACCATGCCCGGCTAATATTTTTGTATTTTTAGTAGAGACAGGGTTTCACCACGTTGGCCAGGCTGGTCTCGAATTCCTGACCTTAGGTGATCCACCAGCCTTGGCCTCCCAATGTGCTGGGATTACAGGCATGAGCCACTGTGCCCGGCCAGTAATTCTCCTTTTAAATACCCTTTTATCTGTCCTGGAGTTTGATATAAAGGCAAGCTTTTAATCTTTTTTTCTTATCACATATATATACATACATATATATGTATGTATATATATATAGTTTGTCATACTATTATCTAATATGAAAACCAGATATTCACAGAATTAAACAGTATTGAAGCTATTACATTTTTAAAAAATGCTTTCCTTCTAGTAAATAAGAAAGATCATTTGTATTCTGTTGTTTATTCTCGTAATCACTTTATTGGTTTTATGTTCATTGTGCAAACATCTACAAGCTTTAATAGACACAATATACATTCTCAGTCAGATTTTCACATGCCACAAGAGTGACACGTTAAGATGATCTGTAATTTAAAGTGATGTTGGAGCCATTTGCATAGATCTTTAGCAGCAAATAAAGGTATCTTTATGCAAAATTCAAACTATTAAAAATAAAACATTGTTTCAACTGACATGCAATCTTTTCAGAAAGCAGATGTGCCTGTCACATTGCTTTTGTTACTAACATAGTAAAGAATGTTTCAGGGCAAGACTAGGGTTTTGAATAAGCCAAAACAATTATGTGAGAATAAGGTGCAACTGTACTCTAATTCAACTGTGTCTCCTGCTAAGAAGCTGGGAATTTGGCAGTAGCCATAATATTCTGCTTCTACATTGTTTTGAGAATATTTTGTCCCTGTTAAGCTTTGTTAGATGGACCCTAGGATCCATTTTGAGAATAGCATTGGTTTTTATCCCCTTTAATTTGGCTTTCATTATAGTACTTTATATAATCTGCATGTTCCAATTCCAAGATGCAGGATTCGTAAAAAATCATTTCAAGTAGACTCAATCAAATACTCCTAATTTCCTTAGTCCTTGTCCGGTAACTGCAATATCATCGTCCCATGATATTGTGTCTCTTCTTCCAATTGTCTTTTTTTCGGACTTTAACAGTGTTATACAGTTGTTGGGATTTTAATACATAATAATTTGATAATCTTTTAAAAATTGTCATTCGCTCTAACGGAGGGAATTTCCTTATTTAAAATATGTATTTGAAATGATGGGTAAATTCATATTAGGTAATGAGTAATTTTTCAACCCTTTGAAAGGATGAGTTTGGCACTTTTTTGACAAATGTCACTTCATATAGTAGAATAGTTATGCTACATAATTGTATTAATATAATTAAACCAATTTTGGATACCTGCCTATAGTCTTTAAAAATATTTGGATAGGAATAGTTAGTTTTGAACTATAAAGTTAATGAGTTAAAAACAAATTACCTTGTTGGTGAGGATATAGAGAAATTGGAAAACTCATACATCATTGGAGGGAATATGAAATAGTACAGTTGCTTTGGAAAACAGTCTGGCAGTCACTCGAACAGTTAAACACAGAGTTATCATATGACGGAGCAATTCCACTCCAAGGTACATAAACAAAAGAAATGAAAAGATATGTCCATTCAGAAACTTGAGGTGAATATTTTTAATTTATAGCAGCATTATTCATAATGGCTAAATGTGCAAACAACTCAAATGTCCATCAACTGATGAATGTTTAAACAAAATAATGTGTGTATGTATATATATATATATAAAATAATATGTATAAAAATATATATAAAATATATATATGAATAATATTTGGCCATAAAAAAGGAATGAATTACTGAAACATGCTACAATATGGATAAATCTTGAAGCTATTATGCTAAGTGAAAAAAATCTAGTCACAAAAGACTACCTATTATAGGACTCCATTCATATGTGCAGAACAGGGTAATTTATAGAGATGGAAATAGTAAATGTTTAAATTTGGGGGTTGAGAAATGGGAATATAAGAGGTGATAGATCAAGGATATGGTGTTTCTTTTTGAGGTGATGAGAATGTTCCAAAAATTGGCCATGGCGATTGTTACAGATATCTGTGAATATAGTAAAAAAAACCTCTGAATTGACACTTTAAGTAGGTGAATTGTACGGTATGTAAATTGTATATCAATAAAGGTGTTAAAATAAATTACCATTAATAGTAGCTAACATATATATAACTCTTACAAATGGCAGTTACTGTTTGAGTTAATTAATTTTTTTAATGCACTTTACGAATATTCTGAAGCAGGAACCCTTATTTCTCTATTGTACACATTATAGAACTAATGCAAAAGGGTAACACAGGTAAAGCGGTAGAGCTAGGAGTTGAACCTCGATAATACGGTTCCAGAATTTATGCTTGTAACCAAGATTCATAATTAATTATTATACACTGGCTCCAATTATGTATAATTATATAATTAAAGAATAAAGGAGTATAGCTTATTCTTTTATTAAGCCTATAAATATTTATTGCAGGTATACTTTGTGCCAGGTACTTTTATAGGGATTGAGGATATAGCAGTATTCCAAAATCCAAAATGAAAAAAAGAAAAATTCCTCCTGCTATGGAGCTTAAATTCTTAAATTTTTAAGAATGTAAACTTTAGAATTGAGCAAATTTGGTTTTAAACCTCAGCTCTGTCCCTTGTAAGTAGAGCAACTAGGTAAGTTTCTTAATCTCTTTGATCCATCTTTTTCCTATTTGTAAAATGAGAATAATATTTTGCCCACATCGTAGGGTCAATGTAAGAATTAAATGAGATGTTACTTGTAAAGCATTTACTTAAATGCCTAATAATCTATAAATACAAGGTGATGATGGCAATGGCAGTGACGACTGTAGTATCAATGCTCCTGTAAATGTCACCATCATTATTATCATCATTATCATCAATAAGGGTAGTTAATGCCGTGGATTTAGTGCCTCCTAAAGTTTGTTTTAATAAGATCATACAGCTACTTGTGTGTGGAACCAGGACTAAAAATTGAATCTTCTGATTTTGAATGTCATGTTATCTTTATTGTTATAAAGATGCTACACAATTTTTATGCTAGCCTCAAATTTAGCCAAAAAATAATAAGACAATAGAAATACCTAGGTGCATTCTGATAAATTTGTTCTTTTAAAGAGGTCATTTACATTTTAGAAAGAAAATAGTCAATAAGCAAATGTTGAGAATAAAATTTAAGATTATTGTTATTATTATTACATTTACCAGTGTCTTTTCTTTAAAACCACCAGCACTCTAAGTTGATAACTGAATAGAGTTCTGAAATAGAATGTCTACCAAAACAAAGTAAAGTGGGTCGTGGTAGTTATATTTATTTAAAAGAAGTAAAAATTAAGTTGGCTTAAAGTTGTAATATTTTTCCTCAGTCATAGGACCTATGTATTTAATTTTCAAGTACAGATTGGAAGAAGGTATTCCACATGGAATACCTGCATTAGCAACCTGACTTCACAAGCTTCTAGTTTGTCATGTTACACACACACACACACACACACACGCATGTGTGCGCACATGCATATGAAAAGCTTTCTTCTCTAGTTTCATCCATTCATTAGACAAATATGTATTGAGGATTTTCTACGTGTTCACAGTGATAAATATTTTCATTTTGACCATGACATTTAGAAAATGTACCATAACACTTCCAGTCCTGCACAACACTGCCAACATCATTTTGATAAGTGTTTTTAGTTAAATCTTGACCTTTATTGGACATCTCAAGTTGATATTGCACCAGATTCAGTGAATAAATATTTAGGAATGATTTTTTTTTTAAATTGGATGAGATTTTAGTCAACTTTTAAAAGAAATCTGTGCTCAGTAAATACATTGTTTCTGGAACATGTTCTTTTCTACTCTGTTTCTACTCAGTAGACAGAGTAGTGACTTAGGATAAACTCTAGTGTCTTTATCCTCCAGAAGGTTTCTTCCACTTTCGGTTACCTTCATTTAGAGACATGGATTCCCTGACTTCCCATTCCCGTCTAACTTCCTTTACTCTGACATTAATCTTAGTGGTCAAAAGTCCCTAATGCTTGTGTTCACAAGGATACACACTCTGTAACCAGCAGGAATACACAAGAAAGATGTACTTGAAACCAGAATGAAGATAGCAGCTGTACTTTGCACAGGTAAGAAAAGAAAAAAAAAAGTTGTAAACCTGGAGACAGGATAAAGAAGGAGTATTTTGCCGAGAGACTGCACAAAAGCAATACTCTTGGGTAATAGATCTTTCCTTGACCTCACTCTTCTACATACGGATATGTAGCTTTCCCAGCACCATTTATTGAAGAGACTGTTTTTTCCCCAGTATTTGTCCTTGCCAACTTTGTCAAAAATGAGTTCAGTGTAGGTGTGCGGATTTGTTTCTGGGTTCTCCATTCTGTTTCATTGGCTTATGTGTCTGTTTTTATGCCAGTATCATGCTGTTTTGGTCACTACAGCTCAGTAGTATAAACTGAAGTCAGGTAATATAATTCCTCCACTTTTCTTTTAGCTTTGGATGGCTTTGGCTATTCTGGGTCTTTTGTGGTTCCATATAAATTTTAGAATTGTTTTTTCTCTTTCTGTGAAGAATGTCATTGATATTTTGATAGGGATTGCATTGAATCTGTAGACTGCTGTGAATAGTATAAATATTTTAACAATATTGTTTTTTCCAATCCATGAACATGGAATATTTTTCTAATTTTTGGTGTCCTCTTCAATTTCTTTTAGTAGTGTTTTATAGCTTTTATTATGGAGATCTTTCACTTCTTCAGTTAAGTTAATTTCTGGATTTTTGTTTTTATGTGTGGCTATTGTAAATGGGATTACTTTTTTAATCTCTTTCTCAGATTGTTCTCTGTTGGCATATAGAAATGCTACTGATTTTTGTATGTTCATTTTGAATCCTGCAACTTTACTGAATTTATTTATCAGTTCAATAGTTTTCTTGTGGAGTCTAGGTTTTCCATATATAAGAACATATGATCTGCAAACAAGGTTAATTAGACTATTTCCACTCCAATTTGGTTCCCCTTTATTTCTTTCTCTTGTCTGATTGCTCTAGCTAGGACTTCCAGTACTATGTTGAATAACAGTGGTGAAAATTGGCATCCTTGTTGTGTTCCAGATCTTAGAGAAAAGGCTTTCAGTTTTTTTCTCATTAAGTATGTGAGTCTGTCATATATGGCTTTTATTATGTTGAGGTATGTTCCTACTATACCCAGTTAAAGGGTTTTTATCATGCAATGATGTTGAATTTTATCATCTGTTTTTTCAGCATCAATTGAAATGATCATATGGTTTTTGTCTATCGTTCTGTTGATACAATGTATCACATTGATTGGTTTGTGTACATTGGAGACTAGGATTGCAACCCCTGCCTTTTTTTGTTTTCCATTTGCTTGGTAGATCTTCCTCCATCCTTTTATTTTGAGCCTATGTGTGTCTCTGCACGTGAGATGGGTTTCCTGAAAACAGCACACTGATGGGTCTTGACTCTTTATCCAATTTGCCAGTCTGTGTCTTTTAATTGGAGCATTTAGTCCATTTACATTTAAAGTTAATAGTGTTATGTGTGAATTTGATCCTGTCATTATGATGTTAGCTGGTTATTTTGCGCGTTAGTTGATGCAGTTTCTTCCTAGTCTCGATGGTCTTTACATTTTGGCATGATTTTGCAGCGGCTGGTACCGGTTGTTCCTTTCCATGTTTAGCACTTCCTTTAGGAGCTCTTTTAGGGCAGGCCTGGTGGTGACAAAATCTCTCAGCATTTGCTTGTCTGTAAAGTATTTTATTTCTCCTTCACTTATGAAGCTTAGTTTGCCTGGATATGAAATTCTGGGTTGAAAATTCTTTTCTTTAAGAATGTTGAATATTGGCCCCCACTCTCTTCTGGCTTGTAGGGTTTCTGCTGAGAGATCCACTGTTAGTCTGATGTGCTTCCCTTTGAGGGTAACCTGACCTTTCTCTCTGGCTGCCCTTAACATTTTTTCCTTCATTTCAACTTTGGTGAATCTGACAATTATGTGTCTTGGAGTTGCTCTTCTCGAGGAGTATCTTTGTGGCGTTCTCTGTATTTCCTGAATCTGAACGTTGGCCTGCCTTGCTAGATTGGGGAAGTTCTCCTGGATAATATCCTGCAGAGTGTTTTCCAACTTGGTTCCATTCTCCCCATCACTTTCAGGTACACCAATCAGACGTAGATTTGGTCTTTTCACATAGTCCCATATTTCTTGGAGGCTTTGCTCGTTTCTTTTTACTCTTTTTTCTCTAAACTTCCCTTCTCGCTTCATTTCATTCATTTCATCTTCCATCGCTGATATCCTTTCTTCCAGTTGATCGCATCGGCTCCTGAGGCTTCTGCATTCTTCACGTAGTTCTCGAGCCTTGGTTTTCAGCTCCATCAGCTCCTTTAAGCACTTCTCTGTATTGATTATTCTAGTTATACATTCTTCTAAATTTTTTTCAAAGCTTTCAACTTCTTTGCCTTTGGTTTGAATGTCCTCCCGTAGCTCAGAGTAATTTGATCGTCTGAAGCCTTCTTCTCTCAGCTCGTCAAAGTCATTCTCCGTCCAGCTTTGTTCCATTGCTGGTGAGGAGCTGCGTTCCTTTGGAGGAGGAGAGGCGCTCTGATTTTTAGAGTTTCCAGTTTTTCTGTTCTGTTTTTTCCCCATCTTTGTGGTTTTATCTACTTTTGGTCTTTGATGATGGTGATGTACAGATGGGTTTTTGGTGTGGATGTCCTTTCTGTTTGTTAGTTTTCCTTCTAACAGACAGGACCCTCAGCTGCAGGACTGTTGGAATACCCTGCAGTGTGAGGTGTCAGTGTGCCCCTACTGGAGGGTGCCTCCCAGTTAGGCTGGTCAGGGGTCAGGGACCCACTTGAGGAGGCAGTCTGCCCATTCTCAGATCTCCAGCTGCGTACTGGGAGAACCACTGCTCTCTTCAAAGCTGTCAGACAGGGACATTTAAGTCTGCAGAGGTTACTGCTGTCTTTTTGTTTGTCTATGCCCTGCCCCCAGAGGTGGAGCCTACAGAGGCAGGCAGGCCTCCTTGAGCTGTGGTGGGCTCCACCCAGTTGGAGCTTCCCAGCTGCTTTGTTTACCTAAGGAAGCCTGGGCAATGGCGGGCGCCCCTCCCCCAGCCTCGCTGCCGCCTTGCAGTTTGATCTCAGACTGCTGTGCTAGCAATCAGCGAGACTCCGTGGGGTAGGACCCTCCGAGCCAGGTGGGGGATATAATCTTGTGGTGCACCGTTTTTTAAGCTCGTCGGAAAAGCGCAGTATTCGGGTGGGAGTGACCCGATTTTCCCGATTTTCCAGGTGCCGTCCGTCACCCCTTTCTTTGATTAGGAAAGGGAACTCCCTGACCCCTTGCACTTCCCGAGTGAGGCAATGCCTCACCCTGCTTCAGCTCGCGCACGGTGTGCACACCCACTGACCTGCACCCACTGTCTGGCACTCCCTAGTGAGATGAACCCGGTACCTCAGATGGAAATGCAGAAATCACCCATCTTCTGTGTCGCTCAGGCTGGGAGCTGTAGACCGGAGCTGTTCCTATTCGGCCATCTTGGCTCCTCCCTCCGGTTTGTGTACATTGAACCATCCTTGCATTCCTGGTATAAATCCCACTTGGTGATAATGAATGATCTTTCTTTCCTTTTTTTCCCCAACTTTTATTTTAAGCTCAAGGGTGCATGTCCAGGATATGCAGGTTTGTTACATGGGTAAATGTGTGCCGTGGTGGTTTGCTGCACAGATCATCTCATTACCTAAATAGTAAGTTCAGCATCCATTAGCTATTCTTCTTGATACTCTTCCTCCTCCCACCCCCAACCCTTTGACAGACCCCCATATGTGTTGTTCCACCCTGTGTTTATGTGTTCTCATGATTCAGCTCCCACTTATAAGTGAGAACATGTGGTATTTGGTTTTCTGCTTCTGCATTACTTTGCTGAGGATAATGGCTTCCAGCTCCATCCATGTCCCTGAAAAGGACATGATCTCAGTCCTTTTTTTTCCGTTTCCCTCTGCTTTTTTCAAGCAAAAGGAATTTCAGCATGTGTATTAGTCCATTCTTGCAATGCTATAAAGAAATTTCTGAGACTGGGTAATTTATAAGGAAAGAAGTTAAATTGGCTCATGGTTCTGCCAATTGTACAGAAAGCATAGCAGCTTCTGCTTCTAGGGAGGCCTTAGGAAACCTGCAATCATGGTGAAAGGCAAAGGGGGAGCAGCACTTCACATGGCCAGAAAAGGAGCAAGGGAAAAAGGAGCTGCTACAGACTTTTATAACAACCATATCTCCTGATAACTCACTATCATGAGAGTAGCACCAAGAGGATGGTGCTAAATCATTCATGAGAACTCCACCC
Organism: Homo sapiens; assembly: GCF_000001405.40. Lineage (NCBI taxonomy): Eukaryota > Metazoa > Chordata > Mammalia > Primates > Hominidae > Homo > Homo sapiens. The sequence continues at coordinate 92,257,261 of NC_000023.11, forward strand.
CCATGATCCAGTCATCTCCCATCAGCCCCCACATCCAACATTGGGGATTACATTTAGACATGAGATTTGAGTGGGGGCACTGATCGAAACCATATCATTCTGCCCCTGGCCTCCCCCAAATCTCATGTCTTTCTCACATTTCAAAATAAAATCATGCTTCCCAACAGTCCCCCAGTGTCTTAATTCATTCCAGCATTAACTCAAAAATCCAAAGTCCAAAGTCTCATCTGAGAGTAGGCTAGTCCCTTCTGTCTATGACCCTGTAAAATAAAACACAAGTTAGTTACTTCCAAGATACAATGGTCTTACAGACATTGGGTAAATACTCTCATTCAAAAAGGAAGAAATTGGCCAAAAGAAAGGGGCTACAGACCCCATGCAAGTCCCAAATACAGCAGAGCAGTTATTAAATTTTAAAGCTCCAAAATAATCTCCTTTGGCTCCATATCTCACATCCAGGAAATACTGGTGCAAACGGTGGGCTCCCAAAGCCTTGGGCGGATCTGCCCCTGTGGCTTTGCAGGGTTCAGCCCCTGAGGCTGTTCTCATGGACTGGTATTGAGTGCTTGTGGCTTTTCCAGGCACAGGGTACAAGCTGTTGGTGGATCTACCATTGTGGAGTGTGGAGGATCATGGCTTTCTTCTTACAGTTCCACTAGGCAGTGCCCCAGAGGGGACTGTGTATAGAGGTTCTCCATGAGGGCTCCACCCCTGGAGCAGGCTTCTTCCTGGAAATCCAGGCTTTTCCATATGCCCTCTAAAATTCTAGGTAGTGGCTCTCAAGTCTCAACTTTTGCACTCAGTGTACCTGCAGGCTTACCTCCATGTGGAAACCATGAAGGTTTATGTCTTGGACTCTCTGAAGCAGCATCCTGAGCCCCATTTAGCTATGTCTGGAACAGGAGAGACTGGGATTCAGGGAGCAGTCTCCTGAGGCTGTGCAGTGCAGCAGGGTCCTCAGCACAGCCCACTAAACCATTCTGTTCTCCTAGGCCTCTGGGCCTGTAATGGGGGGTGCTACGGTGAAGGTGTCTGAAATGCCCTTGAGATGATTTCCTCATTGTCTTGGCTATCAGCACTTGGCTTCCTTTTAGTTATGCAAATTTCTTTTTTTTTTTTTTTTTTGAGACAGAGTCTTGCTCCATCGCCCAGGCTGGAGTGCAGTGGCTCGATCTCGGCTCGCTGCATGCTCCACCTCCTGGGCTCATGCCATTCTCCTGCCTCAGCCTCTGGAGTAGCTGGGACTACAGGCGCCCGCCACCATGCCCAGAGAATGTTTTGTATTTTTAGTGGAGACGGGGTTTCACTGTGTTAGCCAGGATGGTCTCAATCTCCTGACCTCGTGATCCACCTGCCTCGGCCTCCCAAAGTGCTGGGATTACAGGCGTGAGCCACTGCATCCGGCCTAGTTATGCAAATTTCTACAACCAGCTTAAATTCCTCCCCTGAAAATGGAGACTTTTTTTTTCTCTTCTTCCACATGGCCAGGCTGCAAATTTTTCAAAATTTTATGCTCTGCTTCCTTTTAAAATATAAGTTTCAGTTTTATGTAATTTCTTTGCTCACATGTAAGAGCATAGGCTGTTAGAAGCAGCAAGGCAACATCTTGAATGCTTTGCTGCTTAGAAATCTCTTTTCCCAAATACCCTAAATCATCACTCTCAAATTCAAAGTTCCACAGATCATTAGAGCACAGGCACAATGCTGCCAGGTTCTTTGCTAGTGCATAATAAAGGTAACCTTTGCTCCAGATCTCAATAAGCTCCTCATCTCTGAGGCCTCATCAGCTTGGCTATCTGTGTCCATATCACCATCAGTAATTTGGTCACAACAATTTAACAAGTCTCTAGGAATTTCCAAATTTTCCCTCATCTTCCTTTCTTCTGCTGAGCCCTCCACAGTCTTCCAACCTCTGCCTGTTACCAAATTCCAAAGCTGCTTCAACATTTTCAGGTATCTTTGTTACAATGTCCCACTCCTTGTACCAATTTTCTGCGTGAGTCCATTCTTGCATTGCTATAAATAAATATCGGAGACTGGGTGATTTATAAAGAAAAAAGGTTTAACTGGCTCACAGTTATGAAAGCTGTATAGGAAGCTTAGTGGCTACTGCTTCTCAGGAAGCCTCAGGAAACTTACAATCATGGTGGAAGGCAAAGGGGTAGCAGCACTTCACATAGTTAGAGAAGAACCAAGAGAGAGGGGAAGTTGCTACACAGTTTTAAAAGAACCAGATCTCATGATAACTCACTCACTATCATGAGAACTGCACTGAGGGGATGGTGCTAAACCATTCACAAGAACGCCATTTCCATGATCCAATCACTTCCCATCAGGCCCCACCTCCAACAATGGGGATTACAATTCATCATGAGATTTTGGTGAGGACTCAGATCCAAACCATATCACCTTTTATCTGTCACAGCTGGTAATGCTCTGAGTCTCACTAGAAGCCAGCAAGTGTCAGCATCTCACCCAAGGTCCTTGATGTAGTACCTGGGTATCACTGCTGGTTATTCAGGGCCCAAGGGCTCTTCAGTTAGTAGGTGATAAAAACTGCCAGGATCGGGTCCTTTCCTTCAAGGCAGCAGATACTCTTATTTCCCAAGGTGTGTCTAGAAATATTGCTGGGGAGTTAGGGCCTGGAACGGGTGCACCACAGCTGTGACAGTTGCCGTGTCTTCCTCTGTCTGAACTAGTTTCCAAGATGCAAGACAAAGTCCTCCGCATTCTTCCCTCTTCTCTCCTCAAGTGGAAGTGATCTCCTTTGGTGCCATGAGCTGTGCAGCCTGGGGTTAGGGGATCAGTGATGCCAACCCTCCTTTATCCTCCCCAGCTTGTGTCTCGGTAGGTTGTGTGCCCCTCAGCCCACTGTCTCTGGGCCTAATTCAGCACTAGGACTCACCTAAGAGTTGCAGTCCTTATGGCTTAGACTGCCTTTCAAGTTTACTTGAAGACACAGAGTGCTGTAGCCATAGGTGGCGATGTTTGCAGGAACTGAAGTTTGTACCACTAGGATTGGTGATTCCCCTCTGGCTAGGGCTGGTTTAAATGCTCCCTCTGTGGGAGGGCGTCGGCTGAGTTTTTTCTGGTTTTCCTTTCTGTTTTAACAAAACAGCACTGAGTTCGGTGCCTCACAATTGCTGTGTTCTCCCTCCCCCAGCACCCGGAGATGCTCTCTGCATCATGCCTCCTCTGCCTGGGGTTGGGGAATGGTAGCATCAGCGATTCAGGACTGTTTTTTTCTATCGCTCCAATGCCTCTTTCAGGGATACATAGTTAAAACTAGGTATTATGAGGGCACACCTGATTTTTGGTTCTCATGAAGGTGTTTTTTTTTTCTGTGTAGACAGTTGTTAAATTGTTTTCCTTTTTGGGGCAACTATCAGTGGAACTTTCTATTTCACCATCTTGCTCTGCCTCCACTCTCTCATTACTTATTTTGGACATTACATTCTGTCCCTCTTTTTCATTAGTTGTATTCAATAGCTCTGTCAATCTAGAAATTTAGATGCAGTAAGGGAAGTATTCACCTGTTGGTGGTAAGTGTTAGAATTTATTCACACCAGGAGGTAAATAAGAACATACGACACAACATGACTAATGTATATTGTGCAAAAACTGAGCCAATAGACATTCAGATGCAATAACTTTTCTCCCACTCCTCACTATATATAATTTAATTTGGGCAAATATTTTGTTAATGTAATGTTGCCTGTTCAGGGCCAGTTTATAAATAAGAGTATAAAAATCCATATCTCTATTAAAACAGGAGTTGCTTTTCATCATGTTTTTTCCCCTTCCAGCATTGATTTTTTTTTTAATGTTTCTATAATCAAATCGGGTATCAATTTACCCAGCTACTTGCCTGCTTGCCAATATATTTCTGTACTTTCTTTTTATTCTAATGCTTGTTTAGTAGGCATGCACTAGAAGCTACTCATTTGACAGATTGTGTTGTGTCTGTGTGGTGTGGATAAGTGTAAAGACTATCGTTTTAATATTTCCCACATTATCTATTTTAGGCTTTTCTCAATAGAAATTGTCAAACAAGGGCAAAAGTAGCACAGCATAAACAATTCTCTTAATGAAAATATACAATTTAGGGAAATAAATACATTCTGGAGTTGTTCTTTTTCAGTAAAATGATAAGGAAAGGAAATGCTCACCCCAACTTCTTCATTAGCTTAAATGTTGGTTAAGTCATTAACTTTTCAATAATTCATGAAATAATTTACCAAGATAGATGTGTTTCACATTTTTAGATTTTCACTTTGCTCACTAAAAATTTTAATGCTTTTGGATTGCTTTGTGATAAGTGGTGAAACATCTAACATTAATCTATTGTGATTGTGAAAGTAATTTCTAATGAAACTAAAAAAAAATCTTTTGTGTTTCTATAAAACAGAAAATTAATTTTTTAATGTTATATTCTTAGATATGGCTAAAGTTTTGGTGATGTTATAGTCCTTGAGATTATTTCTTTTGGAAAGTTAAAAATTTTTATCTATTATTTAAGTGTATCATTCATAATAAGGAGAGATATAAATAGTGATTGTTTAAAGACAGAGAAATCCAAGGACACTTTCTTGGAAGAGATTACTCAAGGCATTATCCTCAGGCTATGCCTTCACAGAAAATTAAATTCTATCATTGAGCCATTGATGGTTGAATCTGATCGATGCAGAGAGATTATAAGAATATCTTGGGCTAACAACACTCGAAGTGGAAGGACAAGAAGCATACTTTATTTTCTTAGATAATAGGTTTGTGCCTATATCTGAATGCTTATCTCAATTTCAATTTTGTAAACTCAAGTTATGTTAAAATGATAGAAAAAAATATACTTTCTTGGTCTGGGAATAAGCCACTGGATAAAAAAAAAAATGGAGAAAGCATGCATCCTCTTACTATGTTGACTCTATTTCTCTTAGTATTTACCCTTATTTCAGATTCAAGCCTACTCTCTTGACAATTTTCTGTGATTCTTTGTATTCAAGAAGACTCTATAAGGAACTTTTGCATAACTGTAAAAAGAACAGGGAATTAAGATAAAGATTGCGGAGAACAGACTTTCAGGAGCATCATTAGCTGGAAATGTTGACATTTGATTCACTTTTAATTCAGTAACTTAATCCTCTACAAAGGAGAATGAATCCAAAAGGACAAATGGTCTATATGCTTCTGGTATCTTAAAAAGTAACTTAACCTGTCTCCTGAAAGTGGTTGAGGGAGAAAAAAAAGTCTTAAATAAAATGAAAAGAATGACTTCCGTGATGATATTAAAAAGGATTTAGTTGAACAGAGTTGATTTAAGATGCCCCTATGAACAACAGAAACTATTGATTTAAAATTCAGCAATAATATCCCAATGCTGTATAAACATCTCTTATGTTTACCCCCAAATCATTAATTTTCAATGAGCCTAGTTTTTCTCATTTCAATTAAAAAATGTGTTTATGCTTGAAATAAAGGCCCATTCATTTAAAAATGGATAGAAAATAAGTGACACCATAACAGAATATCTAATTGGAAGGGTGCCTTTTCTTGGTTAATGCGTAAGTGAGCTAAGCATATATTTTTTGTGCCAATTGAAATTTTGTATGTGGCTCTTCATATTTTTGCACAAGATTTACAATGCTGTTATATCCCTTTACTCAAACCACTGAAGAATGTAGGAGATGAAAGTAGTTTCAGCAGAAAAACAAAGCTGTGTACCATTGCACTGGGAATGTTGACATGCTTTTTTTTCAAAAAAAAAAAAAATGTATTTGCAGTAACCAAATTTGAGCTGATTTTTGTTTTTGTTTTATTTTCCTTTGCTTCCCTTGCCTCCATTTTATCCTAAATCAGCGGAAATCTGAAGGGAAAGTGGCAGGAAAGGTAAGACTGCAAATTTCAAAGAAAATTGATTTTGAAATGTTGTGTTTATACTGTGTGAAGCTACAGTAGTTAGTCCATGGAGTTAAAACTGTAAGTACTTAGGATAACATATGTTATGGTTCTACTTTAAAAGAGAGTCAAGCTGAGCTGTTTTCACATTTTGTATCGCACAGTTCTGGAAACAATTTCGAGTCTCGTTTTATTTTATTTTCCCCCAATACTTTCTTTTCCCACTATGCCAAAACAACATACTGTTGACAGCATCACTTTGTGAATGGTCTGATAATACAGTTATTTTATGATAAATGCTAACAATAAAAAAAGGAACAATTTTAGTGTCAATTCACATTTTAGCAGTGACAGCAGAAAGTTAGTGAATATAAATCATGATATTTGATAGGGTCACAGAGAAGAATTATATAACTAAACATGGTTAATAGGCAAAATGATGATCTCAGAGAAACTGGGTTTTGGAATGTCATCCTTCAATGCGAAAATTTTAAGTTCTGCTCAAGTATAGGATGGTTCAAAAGTAATTGTGGTTTTTGCCATTAAAAGTTATTGTGAAAACCACAATTACATTTGCACCAACCTAATGTATATGAACAGTCCAGACTTCTAGAAAAATTTGTGTTTCTATTGTTAAACAAATAAACTATCTCATACATATTGTTAAATAACTTCACTAGTTAAACTGTACTACCACTAAAAATAAAGTTTTCCAGTTGTTTATTAACATTTCTTTCCTAGCATTTATGCCTTAGTTTCTTATTATGTTTTGAGGTTTAAAGAAATCAATTTCCCTTAAATTTCTGACAGAAGACGTTTTGAATATTAAATTCAGTAAGCCTTAAATGCTATCCATATTAGGCACCAGAATCTTATCTTTGCTGTTGCTAAGTTAAATATATATAATCTTAAAGATGAATTATCTTATTCTAGCTTAAGAAACCACACTTTACGTTTGAAAAAGCACTTGCCAGAGAGTTGTCTAAGCTATGCCGGAAAGTAATCTGTTCACCTTGGATGTCTTTATCAAGTGTGAGAATTAATGGAAAATGGAGTTTGAATACAATGCCAAAAGGGATTTTCATTAATGTTTGAGAGATAAACTAAAATAACAGCATCAGAGAGTTGTAAATCAATATATCTTTCGGAGTGCTTTCAATTGCCTCTCTGAATCATACTGAGTATCACTGTGGCCTTGGAGTGATGAATTTTTGAAAGTCAGCTCCTCCCAGAAGACAAAAGTTCATAGACAAGATCTCCAGTTAAAAGGAAGGAAGCAAGGGTAGTAAAATGTCACTGGCTGCTACTATGTACAGTGTGATTATATGTGTGTGTGTGTGTATAAAACATGTATTTATATTATATTATGTGTATATTTAGAGAAAGGGAGAGAGAGAATGAAAGAGAGAGAAGATCTACAGATTTGGGGATTTTGTGTTCTAACATTCTTAACCATTCTGGTGAATTTGGAAATGAACTTGTGGCTCAGTTAGTTCAACATTGAAATGTTGAAGAAGAGGAATGTTGGAAATATTTTTCTAGCTTAGTGAATATAAATAAGGACATGTCTTTGTTTTACAAGTTAGGCTCCTGCATATAGAACTCTGGGAAGAACCTATGTTCCAGGTCAGGAAACTCTTAAGTCATGACATTTCAACATAAAACAGTTCAACATGTAAATAATCGACATAAGGACCAATGGAAAAAGAGGTTCTTAGTGAAGGACAATTTTTTTTTTTTTTTTTGTCAAATAAAACAAATCTGGACAGACATAGAGAGAGACTTTGTTCAGAAGAAAGAATATTGCAATAGGGAGAAGGTTATGACGTTAAAAATCTGCAAGGATCTCAAAATTCAACAGAAAATGCTTTTCTTTATAAGGTCAAGAAGGGTAAGCAAGCAGAGATAAGCAGAATCTTTTTTGGAGGTAGGGGATGGGGTCTCGCTCTGTTGCTCAGGCTGGAGTGCAATGGCACGATGGATCACAGCTCACTGCAGCTTTGAACTCCCAGGCTCAACTATTTCTCCCACCCCAGCCTCCCAAAGTGCTGGGATTATGTGTGTGAGCCACCGCACCCGGCCGATAAGCAGAATCTTTAAAGAGGAAGCTGGACCAACAAGAGAGTGGGCCCAAAAGTATCTGTTGTCATCTGATTTCCTGAGAAGCTAATGATTGGGACACATTCCACTTTTTTTAGTGGTTGCTCAGGTTTGATGTCAAGCCGAGCTCAGGGGCCCGTGGGAAGGCGAAAATCCTGACAAAATTTGGGTTAAAACACAGCAGAGAGTTAAAAATGGGCAACTGTGAAGTTTATTATTTTTTTCACTAGCTTTTTTAAAATAAAGTAAGCATAATAAAAAAAACATACAAATCTGCTTACTCTGTTCCAAGCGCTCTATGTTTGTGCATGTGTGTATACATATACATATATGTGTGTATGTATATAGGTATGCGTACATATATATAGGAATGTGTATACACATATATATACACAGTTAATCTTCACAATAATCCTGTAGGCTATTTTACAGATGAGGAATGGTGATACATCGAGCTTAAGTGGCTTGCCTAAGGTTACAGAGCTCACAAGTAGAAGAGCCAGGGTTTGAACTCAGGCAATCTGTCTCCAGAAATTCTCTCTTTAAAAAGATAACAACTTGGAATCGTAAAACAAATACTTTCTTTATATTAAAATAAGTGTTTTCATTGTGTTTTAGAAGTAACATTTAATATATTTAACGTTATAAAGGTGCTAAAGATGTTTCTGGAATAGTAATTTTTAAAAAGTTACTTCTGTCAACTACAATAATGCTACAGACCCATCATTAACTCATTTTTACTAGTCTATATACATTCCATACATTGCCTAATATAATACTGTTAATGTATACTATGGAGATTAGGTCTGTGCTCTGGTGTCCTTTATTTTTGGTTCATTGCATTTATGTATACCTTTTGAAGGGTATTTTGGATATTAAATTCAAGAAGCTATAAACTTTAAATATATTAAGTGTCAGAATATTCATTAACTTGGGATTTATTGCAAATGTTTCTATAAAAAGTTAAATTCATTTCTTGAACTCCTGAACTTCACCTTTTTAGTCTTTTTATGAATTATAAAATATGGCTTTTATGTTCAGTTTAATTCAGAGTATGGGAAAGTATAAGGTTCTCGCATTTGTAAAAAAGTAAGGCAACACATTATCTTAGCTAAGAATGAAGTATCTAGATGAATTCTTTATCTTTTAGAGTCTAAAACATCAAAGAAGAAGATAATTTCTCAATGATTTCTCTAGATTTAAGTGTAAATGACTTCAAAGTACTCACCAAATAGGACCTATATTTAGATTTCAAATCAGAGGTTTAAGTTACAAAGATAGACACTTTTTCTACCCCCTCTTAAAAAATTATGTTATATTTCGTAGATAAGCTAGTGGCATTCACAGCAGAAAAGAAGCAAATGCCACATGTCATAGTTCATTCATTCTTTAACCAGTTGTTATCCATGTGGTTAATTACTAATTAGGAGGAAAAACAAATTTCAACACATGGCCACTTGTAATTGAATAGTGTAAGCAGTACTTATTTTCTTTTTTTTTTTTTTATGTGGAGACAAAGTCTTGCTCTTGACCCCAGGCTGGAGTGCAATGGCATGATTTCGGCTCACTGCAACCTCTACCTCCCAGGTTCAAATGATTCTCCTGCCTCAGCCTCCCGATTAGCTGGGATTACAGGCGCCTGCCACCACGCCTGGCTAATTTTTGTATTTTTAATAGAGACGAGGGTTCACCATGTTGGCCAGGCTGGTCTCGAACTCCTGACCTCCAGTGATCTGCCCACCTTTTCCTCCCAAAGTGCTGGGATTACAGGTGTGAGCCACTGCACCCGGCCTACTTATTTTCAACTAAAAAGGGAATTACAGTTTTTTGAATCTGGTTAATAGTTTTTGAAATTTCCTCGTATGAATACAAACTGCTCTTTTTATTCAATCTACCAGCTTTCCCTTATTTAGCATTAACCTGAACATTTCCATGTAGACATTTTTTTCAAGATCCCTTCCCACTTTGGCTTAGCCTGAGACTAAATTGCCCTTAGGGTTTGCACAAATGGCCAGGCTTGTTAAAGAGAATGTTCACTAAAGTGCTAAACTGAATATGGCAGAAACAGAACTGACTGAGATTCTCCGAGGAGTATATTTCCGATTTCTCTATATCTGCCTGAGGTAAATTAAAAAGCAGATTCTTTTAGACTCACGTAATGGATAATAGAAAGAGTAGCTATAGTAGCAAAGCAAGTAAAAGCCATTCTCTGTCATTGGCCAGACTACTGACATTTGTGCAATCATTTGCTCCAAGGCTACATGAAGATGAGGGGAGCAGTGAAATTGTTTGATCCAACATGTATTAAAATACCCATTTTGCTGGTGTCTCCAAGGTATTGCTTCATTTGCTGTTTTGTACAACAGTGCAGACGTGTTTGGAGGTTCCTGCTTCAGAAATTCTCCTAAAAGCATAATTTAGAATTTTGAATGCAGAATGGCACTATCTTAGCTCATTTTCTGTTGCTATCACAGAATACCACAGACTGTGTAATTTATAAACTAAGAAATGTATTTCTTACAGTGCTGGAGGCTGGGAAGTCCAATATCAAGGTACCAGCATCTGCTGAGGACCTTCTTGTTGCATCATAACATGGTGGAAGGCATCACATGGTGTGAAGGCAAGAGTGTGTGTATCAGCTTAGGTGTCTCTTGTACTTATAAAGCTACTAATCCCGTCATGGGGTCCCTACCCTAATGACTTTATCTAATTCTAATGGCCCCCAAAAGGCCCCATCTTCCATCAATGTGTGAATTTGGGGATTACATTTCTAACACATAAAATTTGGGAGACATATTCAAACCATAGCAGTAACACTGAGATTTTTTCAGTTATCTAAATAAAACAAATTCTAATGGTATATTTCTGAAGAGATACATTTTCATGTCTTATTTTAGAGAAGGATTATTTTCCTATATTACTTTTTGGACTATTATGATCTAGCAAATGCATGAGGCTAAATCTGCATGATTATAAATGCTATTTCTTCTGTTTCTTTTGCCAGTTTTCCTTATTAAACATTCAGTTTAGTGTTATTAGTATGTTTTGTTTTTTTTTTAAGACAGAGTCTCACTCTGTCACCAAGCTGGAGTAGAGTGGTGTGATCCCAGCTCACTGCAACCTCTGCCTCCCAGGTTTAAGCAATTCTCCTGTCTCAGCCTCCCGAGTAGCTGGGATTACAGATATGTGCCACCACGCCCAACAATTTTTTGTATTTTTTAGTAGAGACGGGGTTTCACCATGTTGGCCAGGCTGGGTGTAATTAGTATTATGAAAAATTAAATCACACTAAGAGCTCTAATTTAGCATTACCACCTAAGGAAACTAATTCCCCTTCATCCTACATATGTTCTATAGATATGCTCTTCTAGGGACATTGTACTGCAGGTACACTGTGAAGCCTTTCATAGGGTCTTAACAGCTTCTTGCTTTGGAACAGATTATTTATTTAACTCAATGGTAATGGCTGAAAATTTGATCAGTGGCAAAAAATATCAGATAATGTAAAGGACACTTTGATCTTTTGGGATTCTCCATCTATGCTAGTGTCATGCTTGTTCAAGACTTACACTTATCAGCCAGGCACAGTGGCCGATAACATCAGTCTGGCCAACCTCGTCTCTACTAAAAATACAAACTGGCATTCAGTGTTACAACTGTTAATGTAGCCATCACCACAGGTGAATATCAGTTTTGTTTTACATCTTTGTATACTACATTTCTCAATTCTGTGGTTCTTATATGTACATATGTGCATTCCCTGGATCTTATATTCATATGATTTCAAGGTCTCCATAATTTTGAGCATAGTCCTCCCTTTTTAAGTTCACCAGTTTATTAACTGCTTTATATTATCCTGTCTGGTTAACTTGAGCTTTCCATTCAGTAGGTTCTCCAATTACTCAGTCCCTCTCCATTTTACCCACTTGATAAAATTCCTTCCCGGTTATATTTATCATTCTGTCTCATCATTGTTATCCTTGGTTTCTCTGTTTGGAGTGCCAGTTTCCAACTGTAGATTACCCTTGTAGAATGTATTCTTCACAGCCACTGAGCACATTTAGGTAGAAAAATTAAAAAATCAAAAAAATTATACTGAAGATTTAGCTCACTACACATTAATAGTACTAAGTTTCAGTTGGGATCTAGCTATTGTTCTGAAATATTTTTATTCTCCTCTCATTATCTTTCTATCCCATGCTTTGAATGACTTTCCAAAGCTTTTCAACTATTTTCGAATTTCTTTCACAATTTCCAGCCCTGAATTACCAGCAGATTACTTGAAATCCTACTATCCTAAGATAGAAACAATTTTTGTAACCTCAATACATTTCTGAGTTCCTTTCTAGCCTCTCATTTATTCCCTCTGAAATCTTGAAATATCTAGCTCTTTAGTCCCTTCCTAAATGCCACTGCCCTTTTATATTTAAAAATATGTAAAAGTCATTTGTCAATAAAAAAATATATAAAATAAAAAGGCCTCCCCTTAAGTCAGCTACCCTTGCTAGATATTGATGTAATTCACTACTAAATTGAAGGGCTCATCTCCCCGCTATTAACTACATTTTCTCACCACATATTCCTTGCTATAATTAATTACATTCCCCTCCTGATTAAAGTATAACCCTTTTATAATTTGGGCAAGATTTTTCTGCTTCCTACATCCAAACTTTCTGTTACATTTGATATTTTAACCACTGCTTTTCTCTCGACTTTTCTGGAAATTTTTCTTCCATAAAACCTTCTGTGATCTCTTTTAATCATTTGTATACATAAATATAATGATCACACCTAGATTGTAACTTCATGTTCATTAAGTACATATTCCTTCTGTATCTTTCAATTCCTAGCTTCCTTTTCTTTTTTTTTTTTTTTCTTTTTGAGACTCGCTCTGTCCCCTGGCTGGAGTTCAATGGTGCCATCTCAGCTCACTGAAACCTCAGCCTCCCAGGTTTGAGTGATTCTCTTGCGTCAGGCTCCTGTTCCAAGTAGCTGGGATTACAGGCGCCCACCACCAAGCCCGGCTAGTTGTTTTTTGTGTGTGTGTTTTTAGTAGAGATGGGGTGTTACCATGTTGGCCAAGCTGGCCTCGAACTCCTGACCTCAAGTGATCTGCCCTCCTCAGCCTCCCAAAGTGCTGGGATTACAGGCGTGAGCCAACTGTGTCCAGCCAAACCACAGGATGTTCTTAACATATCAGCCCTCCACTCAAGAGTTCCCTTCATTGGTCACCAATTTGTAAACCAGAAAGTATCTGAAACAGGCCTCAATCAATTTAGAAGTTTACTTTGCCAATGTGAAGGACATGCCTAGGAGGGAGGTCTGTGCTTTTCTCCAAAGATGATTTTGAAGGCTTTGATATTTAAAGGGGAAGAGCTGGCTGGAGGGGAAAGAGGGAGGATACGGTCTCATTATGGAATCCACATGTTGTAAGCAAAAGGAACAAGTAGGGGAATAGTCAATTATATATTATTCTCAAACTCAGTAAATCAGCAGTTTACCTAAGATAAGGTGAACATGGAGTAGCTATCTATGGAGCTATTTAACCTTTTATCTGTAGCTATCTGCTTAGGAACAAAAAGAAAGTCAGTTTCTTGCATGACTCAGCTTTGAGCTTAATTTTTTCCTTTTGGCATAGTGAATTGGGCTCCCATGTTTTTATTTTCCATTCCCAGAAGATAATCCAGAGAAATGAGTAAATCCCTAGAGTAGATCTCAAAGAGTTGTCTTAAACTTCAGGCTTAACTACCGCGATTCTCTGAAGCAAAGAAAGAAGGGTGTGGGGAAAGGTGCAGTTAAGATAAGATAGCCAGAAAAAAACACCATGAAACAAAGGTAATGTTTGTTGTGCAGATTTAAGTCAATGCCTTCTTCACTGGTTAAGAATCTCCAGTAATTCAGTTCTCTTTTTCTTCCTGGTGCAGGGAGGGAACACCCTTACAAATGGAGATTTCCTTTATAGCTGTAAATTTCTTTTACAAAACGGTAACTTCTCAGAAATTCTTCTGTCTGCAGTTCCTCAAAATGACAGCTCTAAAGAAATCTTTGTGTCAATGAGGCATATTTTGAGGTAACGTATTGTTAACAGTGCAGGATGTTCAGGTTCTTGGCATCTTGAACAAAGAATTGCAAAAAAGGCACAAACAAAGCAAGAAAGGGACGAAGGGGTTTAGTGAAAATGAAAGTACACTCCATAATGTGGGACTGGGCCTAAGCATAGGGGCTCAAAGGTCCCGTTACAGATTTTTGGAGGGGTTTAAGTACCCCCAAGAGAACCTCATTAGTTACTTGGGGCATGCCCTATGTAAATGGAGAGGATGAAGTAAGTTATAAAGTCATTTACTTGGCCTACTCCCTATGGAGAGAATATTTCCTGTCATAGATGAAGTGTGAATCAGACTTATGTTCCCTGATTCCAGATCCTATTTTCCTGCTTCAATATTCTTGTCTCTTACAGTCATATTTTGGCGTGGAATATCCTGAACCTCATCATCATGCTCTTTTGCAATGATGCTGGCTTTCCATAATATTTTTATATCCATAATTGTGTAAGCTTTATAGTAATTAAAGTACTAGAATTTTAATTTAGTCTTTCAAGCATGAAGAACTCTTTATTATCCTAAAGACAATTTATTTCATATATGTCCCTTAAGCATTATGATTTAAAGACTAGAACAAGTATTTATTAATGTCCAGAGAAATGGTATCAGGAGATCAGACTCATGGAGGCGGATGAAATTTGACAATACATGATGGTATTGATTCAGTATCTTTTCTGTTTTTATGACAAAGTATCTGGATGTAAAAGTGGATGGAAAAGTATCTCGACATAAAATATAAATGGAGTCCTCAGTAGTAGTGACTTAGATGTCTGCTTTTTTTATCAAGGGCATTTATATTGGAAAGCTAAGAAAGTTTCTTCTGAACATGTGTTTCTCCAGTAAAGTTAGCCGGGGTTGCTGTGTCAGATATTGAGCCATTTATGAAAAAGGACTCTGATTTATAAATCTCATATTTTGTAACCCCTAAGTTAGATATATTATTTTTGGCATGTTTTCTTGTGTTCATTTACTTCTCATGTATTTGTTCCTCGTTATACATTTAATATTTAAGCTGGACAAGTCTCCTGCTTAACTCACAGGGATCTCACAGGCAAGCCTCTGACAATTAATTATCAGGTGGCATTTTACCAAAGGATTTTAAATATACTGGTCAATTGCCTAGCTCATTCCTTGAGGATCACTGTCAAACTAATCTTCCTCATTTATTTGAATTTTTTTATTGCTTAAAAGAAATTTCCAGAATTAATTTTTATGCTTTAAATTAGAGACAATAAAGTGGTAAATTCTGCAGTCTAATGTTGGGATATGGAGAATTAATATTTCAACAAGTCTTATAGGTTCCTGTAGCTTTTGTCTAACAAACCACTTGAAACCTAGTAAATATTTAATGAATATGTGTTGTCATTTATTTAACAAACATATGTGGAATGGTTTCTGTGTGTCAAATCTAGTGCTTGGTGATGAAGGTATCTAAAGGAATTGAGGTAGCACTTTGACATTCAAGGACCGCATTGTCTAGAAAGAAAAAGAGGTTGTAAACTAAAAATTCCATTTGATACAATTAGCTTAATTTCGTATAATAACCTACTATAGAATATCCTTCTTGAATAAAACTAAATTCCACTTACATATACTTAGATTCTCCATCTGGCTTACTCATTTAGGTGTAACAGCTTCCATAAATTCACTAACCTTTGTTTTAGATATATTATTTTCTTGTTTATGTTTGTGTTTTGCAGCATTTATATATTTATGTTCTGGTGGTCTCTTTCATGCGCATCCATGTGAAGAGACCACCAAACAGGCTTTGTGTGAGCAACATGGCTGTTTATTTCACCTGGGTGCAGGCGGGCTGAGTCCGAAAAGAGAGTCAGTGAAGGGAGATAGGGGTGGGGCTGTTTTATAGGATTTGGGAAGGTAATGGAAAATTACAGTCAAAGGGGGTTGTTCTCTGGTGGGCAGGGGCGGGGGTCACAAGGTGCTCAGTGGGGGAGCTTCTGAGCCAGAAGAAGGAAATTCACAGGGTTAATCACTCAGTTAAGGTGGGGTAGGAACAAATCACAATGGTGGAATGTCATCAGTTAAGGCGGGGCAGGGCCTTTTCACTTCTTTTGTGATTCTTCAGTTACTTCAGGCCTTCTGGTCCTTTCCGTGCAAGTCACAGGGGATGTGATGGCTTGGCTTGGGCTCAGAGGCCTGACATTCCTGCCTTCTTAATAAGAAAAATAAAATAGTGTTGAAGTGTTGGGGCGGTGAAAATTTTTGGGGGTGGTATGGAGAGAGAGTGGACGATGTTTCTCAGGGCTGCTTCAAGCGGGATTAGGGGCGGCGTGGGAACCTAGAGTGGGAGAGATTAAGCTGAAGGAAGATTTGTGGTAAGGGGTGATATTGTGGGGATGCTAGAAGAAACACATTTGTCGTGTAGAATTATTGGTGATGGCCTGGATACGGTTTTGTATGAACTGAAAAACTAAATGGAATAACAAAAGGAGAAAAACAGGTATAAAAGGTCTAAGAATTGGGAGGACCTAGGACATCTGATTAGAGAGTGCCTAAGGAGATTCAGCATAGTCCTGCCAGCAAAGATTACTTATTTACTTCAAGAGTTTAGAGTGGCAGTTTGGGGATAGCACCAGGAGATATCAGCTGTGATGGCTTGGAGAAACAGTGTAAACCGGCAGTGTCAACAAGAGCAGGGCATGTATGAGTAGCTGAGAATGGTGAATAGGAGTATGACTAGACAGAAGATAGTAGGGATGACAAGTTTTTTTGGGGCACAGTCTAAGTTGGTCTGGTGTCGAATGAGACTGGGGCCTAATAAAAAGGAGCGTCTATACAGGAGCTTAAATTGGCTGTACCTTGTAGCATTCTGAGGACAGGCCTGAATTCTGAGAAGCGAAAGTGGTAAAAGTATTGTCCAGTCCTCTTTAAGTTGGTGGCTGAGCTTGGTGAGGTGCGTTTTTAAAAGACCTTTAGTCCGTTCTACTTTTCTTGTAGACGGAGGACGGTAAGGGATATAATGGTTTCACTGAATACTAAGAGCCTGAAAAACTGCTTGGCTGATTTGACTAATAAAGGCTGGTCTGTTATCAGACTGTATTGAGGTGGGAAGGCTAAACGGAGGAATTATGTCTGACAGAACGGAAGAAATGACTGCGGTGGCCTTCTCAGACCCTGTAGGAAAGGACTCTACCTGTCCAGTGAAAGTGTCTACCTAGACTAAGAGGTATTTTAGTTATCTGACTCCGGACATGTTGAGTAAAGCTAATTTGCCAGTCCTGGGTGGGAGCAAATCCTCGAGCTTGATGTGTAGGGAAGGGAGGGGGCCTGAATAATCCCTGAGGAGTAGTAGAATAGCAGATGGAACACTGAGAAGTTATTTCCTTGAGGATAGATTTCCACGATGGAAAGGAAATGAGAGGTTCTGAGAGGCGGGCTAGTGGCTTGTACTATAGCATAGCCTGCCTTTGCTGGTGTGTGGCGATAAGGCCTGGTAGAACTGCCATCAATAAATCAAGCATGATCAGGGTGAGGAACAGGAAAGAAGGAAATATGGGGAAATGGGGTGAATATCAGGTGGATCAGAGAGATACAGTCATGGGGGTCAGGTGTGGTATCAGGAATAATGTGGGAGGCCAGTTTGAAGTCTGGGCCAGGAACAATGGTAATTGTGGGACTTAAAGAGTGAGTACAGCTGAAGGAGCCGGGGAGCAGAAAGTATATGCGTCAGTTATGAGGAAGAAAATAGATTTTGGAAGTTATGAGAAATGTAGAGAGTGAGTTGAGCATAGTTTGTGATTTTTAGGGCCTCTAACAGTATTAAAGCAGTGGCAGCCTCTGCACGCAGACCTGAGGGCTAGGCTAAAACAGTAAGGTCAAGTTATTTGGACAGAAAGGCTACAGGGTGTGGTCCTGGCTCTTGTGTAAGAATTCTGACCGCACTAACCATGCCTAGGAAGGAAAGGGTTGTTCTTTTGTAAGGGATTGAGGTTTGGGAGATTAATTGGACATGATCAGCAGGGAGAGCACGTGTGTTTTTATGAGAATTATGCCGAGATAGGTAACAGGTGAGGATAAAATTTGGACTTGACTGAAGTAATGGGGGCTGTCTGTGAAGCCTTGTGGCAGTACAGCCCAGGTAATTTGCTGAGCCTAATGGGTGTCAGGGTCAGTCTAAGTGAAGACAAAGAGAGGCTGGGATGAAGGGTGCAAAGGAATAGTAAAGAAAGCATGTTTGAGATCCAGAACAGAATAATGGGTAGTAGAGGGAGCTATTGAGGATAGGAGAGTATATGGGTTTGGCACCATGGGGTGGATAGGCAAAACAATTTGGTTGATAAGGCACAGATTCTGAACTAACTTGTAAGGCTTGTCTGGTTTTAGGACAGGTAAAATGGGGGAATGGTAAGGAGAGTTTATAGGTTTTAGAAGCCCATGCTGTAGCAGGCGAGTGATAACAGGTTTTAATCCTTTTACAGCATGCTGTGGGATGGGATATTGGTGTTGAGCGGGGTAAGGGTGATTAGGTTTTAATGAGATGGTAAGGGGTGCATGATCAGTCCCGAAGGAAGGAGTAGAGGTATTTTATACTTGTGGGTTAAGGTGGGGGAATACAAGAGGAGGATGCAAAGGAGGCTTTGGATTGGGAAGAAGGGCAGCAATGAGATGCGGCTATAGTCCAGGAATAGTCAGGGAAGCAGATAATTTGGTTAAAATATCTCAGCCTAATAAGGGAACTGGGCAGGTGGGGATAACTAAAAAAGAGTGCATAAAAGAGTATTGTCTCAGTTGGCACCAGAGTTGGGGAGTTTTAAGAAGTTTAGAAGCCTGGCTGTCAATACCTACAACAGTTATGGAGGCAAGGGAAACAGGCCCTTGAAAAGAAGGTAATGTGGAGTGGGTAGCCTCCGTATTGATTAAGAAGGGGACGGGCTTACCTTCCACTGTGAGAGTTACCTGAAGCTCGGCATCCGTGATGGTCTAGGGGCTTCCGAGGCGATCGGGCAGCATCAGTCTTTAGCCATTAAGCCAAGAAGGAGTCAGTCAGAGAGCCTTGGGCCAGAGTTCCAGGGGCTCTGGGAGTGGCTGCCAGGTGAGTTGAACAGTCCGATTTCCAGTGGGGTCCTGCACAGATGGGACACAGCTTAGGAGGAATCCTGGGCTGCAGGCATTCCTTGGCCTGGTGGTCAGATTACTGGCACTTGTAGCAAGCTCCTGGGGGAGGAGGTTCTGGAGGAATGCCTGGCTGCTGCAGTTCAGTCAGGCATTTGGAAGTTCTTGTGTGCTGGAGATGTGGCTGGGGTTTGTCTCACAGTGGAGGCAAGGAATTGCAAGTTTTTTCTATTATTGTACACCTTGAAGGTGAGGTTAATCAAGTCCTGTTGTGGGGTTTGACGGCCAGATTCTAATTTTTGGAGTTTTATTTAATGTCGGGAGCAGATTGGGTAATAAAATGTATATTGAGAATAAGATGGCCTTTTGACCTTTTAGGGTCTAGGGCTGTAAAGCTTCTCAGGGTTGCTGCCAAACGAGTCATGAACTGGGCTGGATTTTTATATTTGATGAAAAAGAGCCTAAACGCTATCTGATTTGGGATAAAGAGAAAGGAGCATTAACCTTGACTATGCCTTTGGCTCCAGCCACCTTTTTAAGAGTAAATTGCTGGGCAGGTGGGGGAGGGCTAGTCACGGAAAGAAACTGTAAGCTGGACCAGGTGTGAGGAGGGGAGGCGATAAAGAGATTATAGGGTGGAAGAATTGGGACCTAGCTCAGCCTGGCGAGGAGGGGAGAGGTCAGATGGGTCTGTAGAAAAGGAAGATTAGAAAGACTCAGTGACGCTTGGGGTTGGGACTGAGGGGACAGGCAGGAGGGAAAGAAGGAAGATTTGGGAGGAGTTGCACTGGGCACAGAGACTAGGAAGGGACTGATGTGTAAAAGAATGCCTGGATGTCAGGCACCTCAGACCATTTGCCTATTTTAAAACAAGAATTATTTAGATCCTGTAGGATGGAAAAATTGAAAGTGCCGTTTTCTGGCTATTTGGAACTACTGTCAAGTTTATATTGGGGTCAAGCGGCATTGCAGAAGAAAATAAGACATTTAGGTTTTAGGTCGGGTGTGAGTTGAAGAGGTCTTAAGTTTTTGAGAACACAGGCCAAGGGAGTAGAAGGAGGAATGGAGGGTGGAAGGTTGCCTATAGCGAAGGAAGCAAGCCTAGAGGAAAGAGAGAGTAGAGAAATGGAGGGAAGGGGTTTGGGGGTTCTTACCTTCTAGAAAAGTGGGAAAAGTGGTTGGGGCTCAGAGATAAGAGGTCGGGGCATGGAAATAAGGGATGGGGCACAGAAATAAGGGGTCAGGGCATGGAAATAAGGGGTCAGGGCACGGAAATAAGGGGTCGGGGCATGGAAATAAGGGATTGGGGCGCAGAGATACGAGGCTGGGGTACTTACCCCTCTAGAAAAGTGGGACTTGCCACTAACAGTGAAGGAGATGGGGTTGAAGGGTACTTGCCCCTCCCCCAGAAAAGCAGAGAAGAGATAGAGACAAGGAGAGAAGGGGTTGGGGTACTTGCCCCTTCCCCAGAAAAGCGGGACTTGCCGCTAAGGGTGAAGGACCAAGGCAGGCATCCCTGTGTCTTCTGACACCTTTGAAACATAGGTGAATAATCAGAGAGGCGTCCCTGCAATGATTAAACACCAAGGAAAGGCTGCCTTCCCTAGTCCGTGACCAGCGCTGGAGTTTTGGGTCCATGGATAAAACGTGTCTCCTTTGTCTCTACCAGAAAATGAAAGGAATTGAAATTAAGAGAAGGGAGAGATTGAAGTGTGGTTCCAAGATTGAAAGGAGAAAGAGGTTGAGGGATAGTGAGGGAGGTTGGAGAAGAGAGTAAAAAGAGGCCGCTTACCGGATTTGAAATTGGTGAGATGTTTCTTGGGCTGGTCGATCTGAGGACCTGAGGTCCTAGGTGGATCTTATGGAGCAAAAAGCAGGAGGACAGGGGATTGATCTCCTAAGGGAGGTCCCCCGATCTGAGTCACAGCACCAAATTTCATGCGTGTCCGTGTGAAGAGACCACCAAACAGGCTTTGTGTGAGCAACATGGCTGTTTATTTCACGTGGGTGCAGGCGGGCTGAGTCCGAAAAGAGAGTCAGTGAAGGGAGATAGGGATGGGGCCGTTTTATAGGATTTGGGAAGGCAATGGAAAATTACAGTCAAAGGGGGTTGTTCTCTGGTGGGCAGGGGCGGGGGTCACAAGGTGCTCAGTGGGGGAGCTTCTGAGCCTGGAGAAGGAAATTCACAGGGTTAATCACTCAGTTAAGGTGGGGCAGGAACAAATCACAATGGTGGAATGTCATCAGTTAAGGCGGGGCAGGGCCTTTTCACTTCTTTTGTGATTCTTCAGTTACTTCAGGCCATCTGGTCATATCCGTGCAAGTCACAGGGGATGTGATGGCTTGGCTTGGGCTCAGAGGCCTGACAGTCTCTTTTCAGTTTTTTTTTTTTTTTTTTTTTTGAGATGGAGTTTCACTGTTGTTGTTCAGGCTGGAGTGCAATGGTGCGATCTCAGGTCACTGCAACCTCCGCCTCCTGGGTTCAAGCGAGTCTCCTGCCTTAGCCTTCCGAGTAGCTGGGATTACAGGCGTGTGCCACCACGCCTGGCTAATTTTGTATTTTTAGTAGAGACAGGGTTTCTCCGTGTTGGTCAGGCTGGTCTCGAACTCCCGACCTCAGGTGATCCACCTGCCTCGGCCTCCCAAACTGCTGGGATTACAGGCGTAAGCCACCATGCCCAGCCTCTTTTTAGCTTTTGTCAGTCATATAAGCCATTGCATTTTTATTCTGTTCAAATAGCATTCTCCTTCCCACTATATTTGATTCCTTTTAGCCTGGTATATTTATCAGATACACTTTAACAGCTTGTTTTACTGTTCATGAATAAAACCTATTGTTGTCCAAATATACTTTAAGCATTGATTTAAGAATTAGGTTTTCTTCTTGAAGTGCATCATGCTTCAAACGATGCATCTCTTTACTAACAAGACAGGTTACCCTCTTTATTTATTTCCTGAAAATAAATGTGTAGTGGAGCAAATCACAAATATTGCCCTTAATATTTTCCGTAGTCAGCATTGAATGCAATTTTTTAAATCTCTAGCATTAAAGGAACTGTCTCCGATCTGTTTCGTATTTTGTAATAAAGGTGATTTCTGGGAATTGTTTGCTGCATAACTCCAGAATAGTTTTGTATCATTGTTATTGACAAGTTATTATCTTTGTAATACTTATATAAAGTTGGTTGGGCAGAAACCATAATGTTAAACTTTTTAAACAAACGCTCCTATTAACTTTTACTTGCCAATATATTTAACTTTTACTTGGCAATATATTACTTGGCCTATGTATTAGTTGGTACATATTTGGCAATATATGAATGGTTTTTGCCCAGCATATTTTTCACGTTTTTAAAGGTCCAAAATATTGACATTTCAACTTAATTAACTGCAGATCTTATAGATTTAGGATAACAAATAAAAAGCCATTGTTACTTTGATTAGGTAAATTTCTCCTGTACAGTCATGTGCCACATAATGAGTTTTGGTCAATGATGGACCACATATACAATGGGTTGTTCCATAAGATTATAATATTGTATTTTTACTGTACCTTTTCTATTTTTAGATACATTTACATACGCAAATAGCTACCATTGTGTTACAATTATGTGCAGTATTCAGTACAGAAACATGCTAACATGCTGTATAGGTTTGTAGACTAAAAGCAATAGGCTATACCATATACACATGCATACACATAGAAAAGCACACATGCAAACATACTCGGTCTAGGTGTGTAGTAGGCTACATCATTTCAGTTTGTGTAAGTATACTCTATGATTTTTGCACAATGAAGACATTGCCTAATGATGCATTTCTTAGAATGTATCTCCATTGTCAGCCAGGAGCGGTGGCTCACGCCTGTAATCCTTATACTTTGGGAAGCTGTGCTGGGTGAGTCATGAGGTCAGGAGTTTGAGACCAGCCTGACCAACATGGTGCAACCCTGTCTCTACTAAAATACAAAAATTAGCTGGGCGTGGTGGTGCGCATCTGTAATCCCAGCTACTCAGGAGGCTGTGGTGGAGGTTGCAGTGAGCCAAGATTGTGCCACTGAACTCCAGCCTGGGCAATAGAGTGAGGCTCCATCTCAAATAAATAAATAAATAAATAAATAAATAAATAAATAAATAATAGAATATATCTCTGTCATTAACTGACATATGAGTATACTTTATTGTTCAGTTCTGAATCTTTCACATTCAGTTAAACTGGAGAATTATGTCCCAAATTAAATGAGATACAAACATGCAATGCTGTAGAACTAAATAAAAACTAGGTAGAAAATGAGGAAACAATTGAGTTACTTTGAACAAACAAATCCTTTGAAGCATAATGTAATTAATCAAATATATTTTTTTTAAAAAAAAATTGACATTAGTAAACTGGGGAGAAAACTTTACCATTTACAGTAGTAAATGTGGGGAAAACTTGACATCTAGTCTAATATCAATACCAAAATAAATCAGTGAGATAGGAAAAATAAACATTGTTTTCAGCAAATGAATCAAGGAACTGCTAAAGTATGTGGTAAAGTTCAAAATGAGTTCCCTCTACAGTATTCTAAGCAGAAGCATCTGTGTTCCAACTAGCTGAATCTTAAGTCTTTTAGTGGTGGTGATGGTACTTGAGTGGTGATAAATGAATGAGGGCCCTTTGTGAACTGCAATCATTGAACTAAACAGACTAACATCCTCTCAGCACTTTTCTGGGCATCATCATCCTGCTACTTATCTCCACAGCAACTTAACCACCTCTTCATTTCTGAACCAAAGGTCATATTGAATCATTTTTCTTATTCTACATTTCAGATTTGTCCTTCTGATAAACACACATACACACGCATACATACACAAGAGTACACCAGGAAACATACACAGGCTACTACTGTTTTCATAAAGGCAAGCATTCAGAAAGTTGCATCTCTATTTCTACCTGACTTTAATTTATGTGTGTTCATATACATGCACTGGGGAAAAATTGCCAGTTAAAAAGGAAACTAAAACATTCCCAGGCAACTGCCATGATTAGGGTATGTAATGTGGATTATCTTTACTAAGTTGGATCTGGAAATATGATTAATATAAACTAGTCAGTATGAAACAAGAACAGATAGCAATGTGGTTTAGTGATATACAATGTATAGGAAGAATTAAGATCAATTAAACTTAAGAGTCCTTAACTATGAGGTATGGAGCTGTAATCTCCAGAAATTGGGTTTTATGACTTCCTTGTCACATGGCTTCTTTCCATTAGAGTCCAAACTGAGGACAAGTGAATTGTGGATGTTGACATACTAACAGTCTCATATTTTCAACTCATCTAGATTCTGTATAATGGCTTCATTCTCTTCTTAGACTAATTTGGTAGCAGAATAAGAATTACTCTGCTGTCTCTAAAACACGTTATGGTATATGAAAAAAATTCTTTCATTCAACAAACTTTTATGGAAGGCCCACTGTGTCTCAGGGACTGAGATATATCTTCAGATTTAGACCTTATTCTAAGGTAAGTTGTGACATATACATTCAGATATAGACATTATTCAAGTCACTTAAACTTTTTAGACCTGAATTACTATGAGGAAAATGAAGAAGATAAAGAAGAATGAGAAAGATGAGAAAAACAAGAAGAGGAGCAGAGGAGGGAGGAGGAGAAGGAGGAAAAGCAAAAGAGTGAAAATAAGGGGAAGGAGAGAAAAGGGAGTGGGGGAATAAGAAGTTCTAAAATAATGTTTTGGAGTTATTTAATTCCACAGGAGCTGTCTAGAAAATAATTATCTGTAAAAATAGCTAATAAATGACTAAGTTAGATATTTATTTTTGACTTTGAAGTTCAAGTTTTATAGTGTTCATCTTAAAATTTTTTTCCTAAAAATGGATAAGAAATACAAAACCTACAGGATTTTAACCCTCACATAGTTAATATCTTCCAAAAATAATACCCTAGTTCAATCTTTGAAAAAGATGTAGAATTTTAAATTATAGAATTTAATATATTTTGCAGGACTGAAAGATAAAATGATTCAGTTCATTGAAAAGCCTATATCGTTCAGCTATCTGACATTGAGGGTAGAATATTGTACGTATGATGAAGTTAAGAAAGCTAAGAACAGTATGCCACAACTATAATAAAATGATATGCTATGTTAAGCTCTTTGCAATGAATTATGCTAAAATAAAATAGCATTTATGCTTTTTAGGTCAGTGCTGGATATTTATGAGCTAGATGGTTTAGTAGATAGCAGGTCAATTTTGCTATCAAATCAACACAACTTCACTACCAACAAACAAACTTTGACCGTGGTGAATAACTAGAATGAAATCTTCCCTAGAGTATATTAGTTCCAGTATTTCTGCTGGGAAGCTATGGGCAGATTGCTATCGTTTTTCATTATTGGGAGACATTGAATGCTATTTCCCGTAATGCTAAAGTTTTGGCACTATTTCACAAAATTTAAAAAGACACACAAAATTAGTCATAGCTTCTTGATATTAGAAAAATCAGAGTCATGGAAACATTTGTCTCTCTATCTATCTATAGATCTATTATTGCTCGAATTTATTGAGCTCATGTCATGTGCCAAGAAGTATGTGAAGCTGGGATTTGAAGCCTCAATATAATTCTAGAGCCAGATCTCCTAAGCAAAAAAAATTAAATTGACAGAATCAAGATAAAGCAATAAACATTCCCAGATCTCTACATGATAATTCCAATTAGGATTAATCATTTTAGCAACACCTATGGCAATACTTAGTACCATATAAAAACAGATATTTTAAACTGAATAGATCACTCAAGTTATGCTGTAATGGGTTGTACAGAAAAAATTATTAATTTGCTTGCCCCTTTCTTTCCTGTTGGTAAGAAAGACTATGTTAATAAGGATTTACTTCAAGTTTTTATAGAAGTGATCTTCCTTTAATATTGCTGCTAAGTCTCTAGCCATTTGAGTGTACAGTGTTGCAGTGTAATTAAAGCAGAATGCACTGAACTTCTATGGATGCCTTTGCCCTATCACAATGGAAGATTTTCTTTTAATCCAGCTTTCATTTTATGCCTAATATTGATGAGTCAGTGATTTAGTGAGGGCTTTATTTCATTTTATTTTTGCTACTTACAACAATGTTTAGGTTTCTAATGTCTGGTTTTCTCCGTAATTCCACATCAAGTTCTACAAATCGTATGATTTTCTAACACCAAGGGATTAGCACTTTTCATGATCTGATGGACAATTTTGCGTATAGTGCCATATGAATTGTTATATTATCACATAAAATGTCCAGTGTGTCTAAGCATATTTATTCCATTCATTCACTTTTCACTAGCTATAGAGGCTCATAGAAATTATTTTTACTTGAGGTGTATATCTTGGACTCATTAGATTAAATTTTTTCTTACATGAAATTCAGTGTGGAATGAAGGTAGACATATTTCTCTTACTTTACTGTCCTTTATTTTTTCTTGATGAACTTTAAACAATGTTCATTAATGGACTTACAAGTTCTCATTTTGAACAAGCTTCCTTTTTCCTTAGTTGACAAAATTATCCAGGTTTCTTTTAGCATGTTCACAATTTCAGATTTTATACAATTACAAACTGAACTTTCCTTATAAACTGATTGTTATAGCTAATTTTTCCTAATAAAATTCAAATTAAGACAGCACCTGTGAATTCTATTTAGAGTTCTATTGATACTCAATGTAGCCAATCACTGCCAACATGAATCAACCTACGTATGTAAATTTAGTGACCAATATAAAATAGTCTCATCGTTCTTTACTACACTTTGGAGAAACTTAGTCATTAATGTTAATCACTATAATGGTTCATATTTATTCCTGCTAGTTCTAAAGTTCTGCTTCCTAATTGCATTATTACAAAGATAAAAAATTCAAAGCAACATGTATAGAATAGAATGTGTGTGGGACTGTGTCCAGTTATTAGACATTATAAATTACTATTTGCTTTTTAAGCAATTAAATATTTTAATAAAAACAAGTTGTGTTTATACCTGCTGTAAAGTTTCTTGCTTTATATTTTACTAGACTAAAAAACAAAACAATATATTTTAATCCACTGTTAGCAGGATTTAAGATAGTTCTGAGAAAGAGGGAAATTGTTATTACTGACCCTCTTCCATATTGGTACCCCTAATGACTGTCAGAAAACGCAGGATGAGAACCATTTTTGCTGCGAGGCAAGCCCACTTTTCTTTTTAGAAGCTTTTAAGAAAGCTAAAATTGTGTACAAAAATATTTCTACTGCCTACAAATCACAGTTTATTTTTATGTTTGAACAGAATATTTTCTAATGTAATATATAGATTTTATTTGTGGGAAAATCTGGCACCAACTCTCAACGGCTTTGTTGCAGAAGCATCTAAAAATGAGCTGGAACTCTAGGGTCTGGTACATAAAACATTATATTATCACATATGGGACTGCATTTTAAATTTAATCTGAAGGACTTGATAAGATACGCCAAATTGCTTAGAAACAATTTGTGTAGCTAGTGAACTGTGGCATCTGGAAGCCCATAGACATTAAAAGCACTTTTTTCCACTTTTTCCCTCTGTTTTCGCCTCCTAATCACTGCAGATGGAATACATGCAATCTATACTGATATTGCAATGAAGACACAAGCACAGATGCTTTTTATTGTGATGAAAGATGACTTTTATTCAGTGCCCAGTTTATTATTGTTATTATTGTTGTTATGATATTAGCAGGCAATATGATGCAGACGTGCTGGCAAAATCTATGATACTAGTCCCACATCATTATAGAGTATGGATTTTCTGTTAGACTGTAGAATTTTTTTTTTTTTTTTTTTTTTTTGAGACGGAGTTTCACTCTTGTTGCCCAGGCTGGAGTGCAATGGCGCGATCTCGGCTCACCGCAAACTCCGCCTCCAGGGTTCAAGCGATTCTCCTGCCTCAGCCTCCTGAGTAGCTGGGATTAGAGGCCCCCACCACCATGCCCGGCAAATCTTGTAGTTTTAGTAGAGATGGGGTTTCTCCATGTTGGTCAGGCTGGTCGCGAACTCCTGACTTCAGGTGATCCGCCCGCTTCGGCCTCCCAAAGTGCTGGGATTACAGGTGTGAGCCACTGCACTCAGCCTGTAGAAAATTTTTATAAAAGTAGTAAGTCAATCTGTGTGTGTAATAACATATGTGCTTTAGGTTTGAATTTTGTCAGGGAACTAAAACTGAAAACAAGGAAACATATTGACAAATTATTTATTATTCTGTGCATATATAAGGAATAGCCATTAATTAAAGATTGCTGAGACCAGCTCGGTCATGGAGACCCTAACCCAGTGGCCCTAGAGGAGTTAAAGACGCACACACAGAAATATAGAGTGTGGAGTGGGAAATCAGGGGGCTGACAGCCAGGAACAGAGATTTACCCACATATTTATTGACAGCGAGCCAGTGATAAGCATTGTTTCTATAGATTATAGATTAATGGTAAACAAAGGGATGGGCCGAAACAAAGGAATGGGTTCTGGCTAGTTATCTGCTGCAGGAACATGTCCTTAAGGCACAGATCGCTCATGCTATTGTTTGTGGTTTAGGAACACCTTTAAGTGGTTTTCCGCCCCGGGTGGGCCAGGTGTTTCTTGCCCTCATTCCGGTAAACCCACAACCTTCAGCATGGGCATCATGGCCATCACGAATATGTCACAGTGCTGCAGAGATTTTGTTTATGGCCAGTTTTGGGGCCAGTTTATGGCCAGATTTGGGGGCTTGTTCCTAACAAAAGATCATCATGGCTAAAGATAAAGCCATCACAGCTTTATCACGCCTACGTAATTTTTGCTTTGCTTCTCATCAATGAGCCCAGGAAAAAATTATTTAATGTTGGTGCATACAAATATTCCAGCATTTCACAGAAGATTCAGAATTATCTTTTAATTTAGGGGTATTAAAGGTTAACAGAAAGTCCAGCTGACATTTTGAAAAATAAAGTGAGAAGTTAAGCATTGTTCCTCTTAAGGTTTTAAATAAAATTCAAAAAGTAAAAAAAAAAAAAAAAGGAAAGGAAAAGCAAGCAGATATAGTACAAAGAAAGTGAAAATAAAATAAGATAAACAAAAGGAAAATCAAATAAATACAATTCAGGTCTCTTCCTTCAAAGAGACCACTTATTTCATTCTAGATTAAATGGGCTTTCATATTTTTGAACTGATGACTAGATGAAGTAAGTTCTACTAAATGGTCTCACTAGTTCCAATTTTGGAGATTATCTCTTCAAGGATTTAGTTTACTTATTAAATGCTACTGAAAGATGGAAAAAGAACAAAGTAGCTACAACTGAAAATCTGGAATAGAATTATATAGCAAGAAGGAATTATAATCTATAAATATAGGTTCTCCTAAAATGATCTCACATCTACAAACATGAAAGTATTTTAAATGATAAAAAGAAGTCTTTCTCCAGTTTGTAAGATGGGAATAATAATCATACTTATCTCACTGGGTTATTGTAAGTTTTAAGTAAGTGAATATTAAATAAGTTCATGTATCTAAAAATGATTTAAACAGTGCCTGGAACATATTGGTGCCATGCAAAGTTTATATATTATCGTTATTATTAATGATAGTATGATTCAATACACTGTATTTACGTGACTTTAAGACAATGGGTGCCAAACTAGTGGTTTGTTGTTGGAATTGACTGTCAGTAAAAAACAGAATGTGAAAATAGTGCTTCTTTTCTCTTATTTATTTTATATTTTATTTTATTGTATTTTACTTTAAGTTTCAGGATACATGTGCAGAATGTGCAGGTTTGTTACATAGGTGTCCATGAGCCATGATTGTTTGTTGAACCTATCAACCTGTCATACAGGTTTTAAGCCCACATATATTAGGTATTTGTCCTAATGCTCTCCCTCCCCTTGTCCACCACCCCCTGACAGGCCCTGGTGTGTGTTGTTCCTGCCTCTGTGTCCAAGTGTTCTCATTGCTCAACTCCCACTTGTGAGTGAGAACATGCAGTATTTGGTTTTCTGTTCCTGTGTTAGCTTCTTTTTCACCTCTCCCAGAATACTTCTCATTCAGTATCCACCGTTGGCATTCTGTCTTCCCACTACAGCATTTAATGTGCTCATTCAATCAACCAGCAACCCTGATACTAGTGTTGCACTGTCCTGTACGATCCAGCATTATTTGGACATTACCTGGAACCTAGAATTTTCTTCCTTTTCTTTTGTTTTAAGCTTTCCTAAATCAACATTTTCTTATGCAGTATATTATTTCTTTAGGCTTCGCACGCTAATAAATTGATAGCTAGCTAA
Source organism: Homo sapiens (assembly GCF_000001405.40). Classification (NCBI taxonomy): domain Eukaryota; kingdom Metazoa; phylum Chordata; class Mammalia; order Primates; family Hominidae; genus Homo; species Homo sapiens. The sequence goes on from NC_000023.11 coordinate 92,287,735, forward strand.
TTCTACTAAAATAGATCTGATATGGTTTAGCTCTGTGTCCCACCCAAATCTCATGTTGAATTGCAATCCCCAATGTTGTAGGAGGGACCTGGTGGGAAGTGATTGGCTCATGGGGGCATATTTCTCCCTTGCTGTTCTTGTGATAGTGAGTTTGTTCTTACGAGATCTGGTTGTCTGAAAGTGTGTAACACTTTCCCCTTCACTCTCTCTCCCTCCTTCTGGCCATGTGAAGACTGTGCTTACTTCCTCTTCCCCTTCTGCCATGACCGTAAGTTTCCTGAGGCTTCCCTAGAAGCATAAACCTGTATAGCCTGCAAAACTGTGAGCTGAATAAGCCTCTTTTCTTTATAAACTACCCAGTCTCAGGTAGTTCTTTATAGCTGTGTGAGAACAGACTAATACACGATCCATGCTACTGCATTTAATGTATCACTATGGAAATGCATTTTCTTTTTAGATGCAGAGATTGAAGAAACCAAAATTAATGGCCATTTCTGGGAATTTTAGCCCTGTTCAAGAGGTCTGCTATAGTTTTTCCTTTCTGTAGCTAGTAGGTTCTTATACTACCTTTTAGGAAGAAATGTTCTACTATTATGAAAGGACCTTAAGTCACTTGGAGACACTGAGGTCACTACAAATTTTGAGTTAGTTACTTCTTTTTTTTTTTTTTTTTGAGACAGAGTCTTGCTCTGTCGCCCAGGCTGGAGTGCAGTGGCAGCCTCCACCTCCCGGGTTCAAGCGATTCTCCTGCCTCAGCCTCCTGAGTAGCTGGTACTACAGGCATGTGCCACCATGCCCGGCTAATGAATTAGTTACTTCTAAGGCTGTATCAATAAATTCCAGACTTAAAATATCTGTTTATTTTTACTGTTAATCAAGGTAGGACGTCATTTCTTTGCACATGCCTTGGTATTTTCATTGGTTAAATTTTATTGTCAGTATGGAAAAATAAAAATCAGAGGAAATGTATACAGTATTTCTGTGATTTGTTTTAAGAATTTAATTATAGATTTTAATCTTGATGTGGTTTTTTTCAAAAACATGTACCAGGTTTTATATCATCCCAGTAAATAATTTTGTCTGAAGGTCAAATGTTTTTAAGAGTGTTTCATGGAAATGAATATATTTTCTTAATTTTATAATTGACCAAATTTTTATAATGTAAAAGAGAAATTAATGAATGCTGTATTGAAAGGTAATCACTCTGCAGTTGATCCCGCTATAATTTCTATTTATTTAAGAATTATGAATCATCAGCTAAAATACTGAAAATATTTGCTTTAATAATAGACTATGAGTATTTTGTATTTTAGTAAATTTTGTATTGGAACTATCAAATAGAGTCACAACTTCACCCGTTTCAATTTTTATGGTTGTTCTTTATTGACTGCATAACAATTCTATTTGCAGAAATTCCTTCAAGATTTATCACTGAGTTTTTATTCATATGATTAAAAATATATTAAAATATAAGCTATTACTATTATATGCGTTATGAAGGATTACAAAGAATTTCAGATCAGGTATTTAAAATCACATTGGAATCATATATCTACTGTCTTCTCAATAGACGCAATATACAGCACACCGAGGTTGAATATTTATTCAAGTTGTTTTTTCTATTGGAAATGAGGCTCAATTATTCCAACTTGTTAAAGCAAGGGCTAAAACGTAGCTTCTGAAGCATCATAAAATTAAATAACTGTATTTTCATGATTTAAATGACAACTCCATTTATTTCAGCTTTCACTTATAAATGAGTACTTACGCACTGATGAATATGAACAAATGTACTTAAAATGGAAAAGTTAAATGTGATTTTAATACATTTTAGTAAACTAAGGGCTGAGTACTATTGGGTTAGAACAAGAGGGAAAACAAATTTACATGTGAACATTGTGAGGATGTTCACATGTAAATAAATAGCAAACCACTGTTATGACTAGGTCAGATACTTCAACTCATTTAAAAAATGCAACTATGTTTTTACTGTGTAGACTCAGTAATAGTAGGAACAATATTGCCTAAAAGCATAATTTATTACACAGACAACTATTTACTTTTGTTCTTTTAAATAACTAATGCAGATCATAATTTTCATATGAATAATTTCATAGAAATATCTGTCAGCTTACTTAACAAATATTTCCCAGGAAAGCTTATCATTTGTTCATATTTTCCTAAATCATATATACTATATTTTTAAAGAAAGTAAGTCATAGAAAGGAATCTGAAACATATTAGTTTAAAACACTTCTTTTATATAAGGTTAATAGTGGGAATGATAGAGGTAACATTTAAAATTGTTAATTATAGCTGCAATTTCGATCAAATAATTTTTTATCAGCTACAGTTTTATGATAATGCAACTGTTCTTATTTATTTGACATCTAATAAAACAATTATGAATCAAATTAGTGAGTACTAATTATACCTTCATTTCTTATTCACCTTCCATTTGTATGTATGTATATTAGGGATGATCAGACATAAAATTTGCTAATTTTTACAACCTTTTACATCAAATGGTTATTTTTCCATCATGATTAGAGAGAAGTTAGAATCAGTGTATCACTTTCACGGATTCACTCGGCAGTTAAAACACATCGTTAAAGCCATTCAATGAAATAACCAGAAAGGAGCAATTGACTTTTAACATTTGGCTCCACAGAATGTGTTTTAACCAGGTTCCACTTCCTAAATAACACATCATGCCATCATTTCAGAATCATAAACAGCAGTCATAGCAAAGATATGTCTAGTGATATTATAGAAACATATCAGCGTGTTGACTTGTGGAAAAATCAAATTCACTGTTTGTAGAAGTGGAAAATCAAGTGTTTGAAGAAATTATCCTCTTATGTTGTCATGTTTGTCTAAAATGTGTTTAATATTTTGCAATGAATAAACAGTGGCATAACTAAGTGGGCAAATATTTTCAAACTAGATAAATAAACCTGATTGAAGTTATTGGGCCCTTTTCATCAATCACGTTATTTCAGGAGGCAAAGTTATTGTATAGTATTTGTACTTGTATATTAGTAACAATGCACCACCATGTATTTCTTTTAAGTAACAAGATTTATAATTACAAGATTTATAAAATAGTTTACATTGAGGATGTAGTTAGTGGATGAAAGATGAACTGAGAAACATTTATTTTCTTTTGTCTTTTTTTTTTTTTTGAGACAGTGTCTCTCTCTGTAACTCACGTTGGAGTGCAGTGGCACATACATGACTCACTGCAGCACTGACCTTCTGGGCTCAAGGGATTCTCCTGCCTCAGACTCCCGAGTAGCTGGGACCACAGGTGTCTGCAACCATGCCCAGCTATTTTTTGTTGTTGTTGGTTTTTTGTAGAGATGCAGTCTTACTATGTTTCCCAGGCTGTTCTGGAACTCCTGGGCTCAAATGATCCTCCCACCTGGGCCTCCCAAAGTGTTGAGATTACAGGTGTGAGCCACTTCGCCCAGCCCAGAAATTTTTCATTTGTTAAAGCATACTGATACATTATTTTCTTTCCAAAGATTTTTTTCTTATAAAATACTATAAAGTCTATGTGTGTTTGAGGAGAAGAGGCATATATCCTGTATCCTGTATATACATTTGGTAACTGTAAATAATTAAACACAGTTTCAGAAAAATATTCCCATTTGTTAAAAGCATAGAAGTTTTACCCTCCTACCATACAGAAGGGCCTCACAGATGGATAAACCATGTTTGTAACTTTTTAGGTTCAGTAAATTACAACACACATCTTCTGTAACCCAATTCCAACCTTTTAACGTCTGTGCATGGAATTAATATAGGTTAAAAATGGGTATGAGGTCTTAAGCTAGCAAAATGAACTATCTAATTACTCTGTTGCTTAATAATATATTAAAGATTATTAGTTTTTAGTTCTGTTGTGTGTTTCCTACTTTTGAACAAGTTCCATAAGCTATAACTAAAACTATATGCTTACTTTTCATCTTTGGAAATGAAACAGAGTGTTTATATACTTGAATGCCCAGAGATGGAAAAGTCATATCTTGGACAAGAGCATCAGACACATGATTTATAGCCACTGAAATACTTTCAAATCATGACTTAGTCTACCATAGGGCATTATGAAAATGTAAAGACTCTGTCTCAAAAACAAAAAAAAAGAGAAAGAAAAAAGAAAAAAAAGCATGAACACAAAAGCAAAAAATAATTAAAATAATTCATTGTCTTTATCCATTTTGGAGACTATTTGGAAAATCAGCTCTGAATAGAAAGAATGCAAAATGTGAAATGCATCACTTTGGTTGTTAGCAGTGGTCACATGCAATCCAATAAAATGTGGACCATAATATACTGGGTACTATATGTAATAGTTACAACCTAATATGCATAAAATATATAGTTAATCTTGTCTTTCTGGATTATGGATGCAAAGTCATTTAAATTTTAGAAATAATGAAGTGACTGATCAATGTGCAAAGACTTCTCAAAGTCTGCTGCAGAAAAAAAAATTATTTTGGAAAAAAATATTTTGAATGTCATAACAATCAGCAGGTATCTTTTTAAAGAAAAGAACAGAACATTCATAAATTGGAAGTATCCTTAATGTTTTTGCATGTTGCTGGAACATTTTACCTGCACACTTGTTCTTTAAATGTTCTCACTCTCATTTTATAAATACTTATGCAAGCTTTTCATGAAACGCATTTCTAAGTACTACCTGCTGGTTCAGATTATGTCTTGTTCTATTTTATTGAAAGAATTCAGAAGACTTTTAAAATTAGGTATATAGAGGGTGATTTTTAAAAATGCCTCTCTTAACAGTAGAATGAAACTGTCATTTACTGAAGCCACAACCTCCTGAGAAGGAAAATAAGAAAAGTCAAAAAGAAAACATTCAAGGAAGATGTCTTTCTACCTTTTGCTATGTAATCTTTCTGTTGGTGCCCTACACCACTGCACACCTCCCTGCCAGCACATACACAGAATCGCACACAGTTACTATTGGGAACAATAGACAAAGAAAAAAATGTTTTTATTTTTTATTGGTATTCAAAGAACTGAGATGTAGAGGAAAAAGAACTGCAGTGAAAGTCCAGCAATGAATTATTCAATTCCTTCAATTTGTTGACCTTAACGAAATGCAAAGTGATTTGAACTAAAAGTAATTAACAAGAGAGAGTGTGCCTAGTAAAACCAAGAAAGAATCATATTTGTTTCAGGAATCAATAACAGCCAGTGACTGAAGGTCATAAAGGAACCATTCAGGAAAACAAAGAGCCTTTTGCCAAGGCAGTTGTCATGCTGTATATGTGTGCACATATGCAGGGATTTTAGCTGTGACCGTGTACTAGGAAGATTTAATTACATGAAAATGTCTTCTACAGAAAATAAAGTGAGGAGAAAAATGAACTAAGAGGCACATCTCAGTGACACTAAAATGTCATTTTTGATGTCAAGTTTAACAGAAAATTGTTTCTGAGGAGTGGCATCCAATACAGTTTTTCATTTAAATAAAATATTCCAGTGTGACTAAAAGTAAAATTAAAAGCAACACTGAATAAAATTTAATGAAGAACTTTGGAATGGTAATAGAGTTCTATAACATAGAACTAAAGCTGTGGGCCAGACACGGTGGCTGAGGCCTGTAATCCCAGCACTTTGGGAGGCCAAGGCGGGCAGATCATGAGGTCAGGAGATCGAGACCATCCTGGCTAACACAGTGAAACCCCGCCTCTACAAAAAATACAAAAAATTAGCCGGGCGTGGTAGCGGGCGCCTGTAGTCCCAGCTACTCGGGAGGCTGAGGCAGGAGAATGGAGTGAACCAGGAGGCGGAGCTGGCAGTAAGCCGAGATCGCGCCACTGCACTCCAGCCTGGGCGACAGAGCGAGACTCCGTCTCAAAAAAAAAAAAAAAAGAACTAAAGCTGTGAACATGTTCCAAAGACTATTTTGGCACGCAGAAGCACATCTTTGTCTCTTCTGTTACGAAATCTCAATGAAAAACTCTTGAGCTTTTCCCAAATTGAATTGAAGGACATTCTATAAAATACCTAACTAGTACTTCTCAAAACTACCAAGGTCATCAAAAACAAGGAAAACCTGACGACTGTCATAGTCAAGATGCGCTGAAGGAGATATGATGACTAAATGATGTAATGTGGAACCCTAGATGGGATCCTGGGTCAGAGAAAAGACATTAAGAAATAGAAATAAAGTAAAAATTAGTTAATAATAGTGTATAGATATATTGGTTCATTAGTTGTGGCACAATGTATTATAATAATGTAAGATGTTAACAACAGGGAAAATGGGTGTAGAGAAAGACTACCTGTACTAAATTTGCAACATTTTTTGAAATCTAAAATGATTCTAAAATTTATTAAAGATTCTCAAGTTTATTTTATTCATTTATTCATTCATTTATTTATTTATTTTGAGATGGTGTTTTGCTCTTGTTGCTCAGTTTGGAGTGCAATAGCATGATCTTGGCTCACTGCAACTTCCACCTCCCAGGTTCAAGTGATTCTCCTGCCTCAGCTTCCCACGTAGCTGGGATAACAGGCACCCACCACCACGCCCAGCTGAAGTTTTGGATTTGTAGTAGAGACAGGGTTTCACCGTGTTGGCCAGGCTGGTCTCGAATTCCTGAACTCAGGCGACCCACCCATCTCAGCCTCCCAAATTGCTGGGATTACAGGCTGTGAGCCACTGTGCCCTGCCAATTCTGAAGTTTATTAAAAACATTAGAGCATTTTATCCTGGCATAAATTCTAGCAATATTATTGGCTTTTATTCCAATCTATCTTAATCTCCTTGAAATATGCTCATTAATTAAGAAGACAGCTACACAAAACATTACAATAATCAACAGGAATGGACATTTCCATTTTGTTTATACATTTTAGGAGCTGTGGTCTTGGGGAAAAACAAGAGGACCCAAAATGACTACAAAGATAAATTTTCATAAATGATTGTCCTGGAGCTGCTATATGCTAGATCGCATCAAGAAGAGCTTAGGGTTTCACTTGTAAAATAAAAGCATCTTCTCAGAGAACTGCTGTTTGGAGATTCATAAAAATAAATAGTAATTATTGGATTCAAGGCCCTAGAGAAACATATGTGTGTACTCTTTGGTGAGCAAATTGCTATTATTATCTTGAATTTAATACAATGAAGCATCACACATTGTAAAACTAAGGGAGTCACAGAAATTTCAAAGTTATCTATTTCTACCTCAGCTATTTTAAACTCTCTTCTAGAAGCCAAAATAGTAAATACTTAAAAAGAAGTAATTTATAGTATTTGTTAACTAATTGGAATAACTAGATAAATGTAGTTTCATGAATGGTTAAGAAAACTTTTACTGAAACCAAAAGTATTGAGAAAATCATCGTGAATAGTAACTTAAATTTTGCAAAGGGTAAATGCAAACAGAATATGACTCATGAATAATATGGTAAGCACTGAACTGTAAGTAATCATAGAACTGAGAAAGCATTAAAATGATATAAATCTGCCCAAAAGTTAAGTATATGTGTTATTTATATTGGTCATGTCTAAAAGTGAACAAAAACTAAATAAACTGAATAATATAGTTGATTTTTCTATATTGATCTTATATCCTGCAACCTTGCTGGACTCTCGTTATTTCTAATAATTTTCGTAGATTCCTTAGAATATTCTATATACAGGATCATGTCATCTGCAAATAGAGATAGTTTTACTTCTTCCTTTCCAATCTGTATGAATTTTGTTTCTTATTGTTATTATCATTTTTGTTTTGCATAATTATCTTCGCTAGGTCCTCCAGTGCAACACGTTAGAAATGAGCAAGAGTGGATATTACTGTTATTTTCCTGGTCTTAGTGAGAAAGCACCCAATCTTTCATCATTAATTATGATGTTAGCTGTGGGTTTTTAATAAATGCCCTTCATTAGGTTCAGAAAGTTTTCTTCTATTCCTGGTGTGTTGAATATTATCCCCATAAAAGCATGCTGGATTTTGACAGGTGTGTTTGTGTGTGTGTGTGTGTGTGTGTGTGTGTGTGTGTGTGTCTATTAAAAAGATCATGTGGGTTGGGCACCGTGGCTCATGCCTGTAAGCCCAGCACTTTGGGAGGCCTAGGCGGGCGGATCCCCTGAGGTCTGGAGTTCGAGACCAGTCTGGCTAACATGGTGAAACCTCATCTCTACTAAAAAAACACAAAAAATTAGCTGGGCATGGTGGCATACACATGTAGTCTAAGCTACTTGGGAGGCTGAGGCAGGAGAATCGCTTGAACCCGGGAGGCGAGGTTGCAGTGAGCCGAGATCGTGCCATTGCACTCCAGTCTGGGCAACAAGAGCGAAACTCTGTCTCAAAAAAAAAAAAAATCATGTGCATTTTGTTTCTTATTTTATTGATTTGCTATATGATAGATTTTCCTATGGTGAATCAGTCTTGGATCCCTGGAATAAATCCCACTTGATTATGGTGTATAATTATTTTTGTACATTGCTGAATTTGGTTCACTAGGTTTTTTTTCTAAACTTTTATCTTAGGTTTTGGTATTCATGTGCAGGTTTGTTATACAGATAAATTGCATGTGACAGGAGTTAAATATACAGATTATTTTATCACCCAGGTAGTAAGCATGGTACCTGACAGGTAGTTTGTTGGTCCTGACCCTCCCCCGACCCACCACCCTCAAGTAGGTACCGATGGCTGTTGTCCCCTTCTTTGTGTTCTTGTGTACTCAATATTTAGCTCCCACTTATAAGTGAGAACATGTGGTATCTGGTTTTCTGTTCCTGTGTTAGCTTGCTTAGGACAATGGCGTCCAGCTCCATCCATGTTGCTGCAAAAGACATGATCTTGTTCTTTTTTATGGCTGCATAGTATTCCATGATACCTATGTACCACATTGTTTTAATCCAGTATACTATTGATGGGTGTTTAGGTAGTTCCATGTATTTGTTACTGTGACTAGTGCAGCAATGAACATCCATGTGCATGTGTCTTTATGGTAGAATGATTTATATTCCTTGGGACTATACCCAATAATGGGATTGCTGGGTTGAATGGTAATTCTGTTTTAAGTTCTTTGAGAAATTGCCATTGCTTTCCACAATGGCTGAACAAATTTGCATTCCATCCATCAGTGCATAAGCATTCTGTTTTTTCCACACCCTCACCAGTATCTGTTATTTTACAACTTTTTAATAATAGACATTCTGACTAGTGTGAGATGGTATCTTATTGTTGTTTTGATTTGCATTTTTCTAATGATTAGTGATGTTGAACATTTTTTCACATATATATTCCTTGCAGATTATGGATATTAGACCTTTGTTGGATGCATTGTTTGCAAATATTTTCTCCCATTCTGTAGGTGGCCTGTTTACTCTGTTCATAGTTTCTTTTGCTATGCAGAAGCTCTTTAGTTTAATTAGATATCATTTGCCAATTATTTTTTTGTCATAATTGCTTTTGATTTCTCTGTTATAAAATCTTTGCCAGGTCCTATGTCCAGAATGGTCTTTCCTGGGTTATCTTCCAGTGTTTTTGTACTTTTAGGTTTTATATTTAGGTCTTTATTCCATCTGGAGTTGATTTTTGTATATGGTGTTAGAAAGGGGTCCAGTTTCAATCTTCTGCATATGGCTAGCCAGTTATCCCAGCACTATTTATTGAATAGAGAGTCCTTTCCACATTGCTTGTTTTTGTCGACTTTGTCAATGATCAGATGGTTGTAGGTATGCGGCTTTATTTCTGGGCTTTCTAATCCATTGCAGTGGTCAATGTGCTTGTTTTTGTACCAGTTCCACCCTATCTTGGTTACTGTGTAGCCTTGTAATATAGTTTGAAGTCGGGTAATGTGATGCATCCAGCTTTTTTCGTTTTGCCTAGGATTGCTTTGACTATTAGGGCTTTTTGGTGCCATATGAATTTTAAAATAGCTTTTCTAATTCTGTGAGGAATGTCTTTGTTAGTTTGATGGAAATAGTATTGAGTCTGTAAATTGCTTTGGGCACTATGTTTGTTTTAACAATATTGATTCTTCCTATCCATTAGCATGGAATGCTTTTCCATTTGTTTGTGTCATCTCTAATTTCTCTGAGCACTGTTTTGCAATTCTTGTTATAGAGGTTTTTCACCTTCCCGGTTAGATGTTTCCCCAGATATTGTTCTCTTTTTGTGGCTATTGTGACTGGAATTGCATTCTTTATTTGGCTCCCAGCTTGGATGTCATTGGTGTATAGGAATGCTACCAATTTTTGTACATTGATTTTGTATCCTGAAACTTTGCTTAAGTTGTTTATCAGATCAAGGAGCTTTTTGACAGAGACTATGGAGTTTTCTAGGTATAGAATCATATCACCTGCAAACAAGGACAGTTTGACTTGCTGTCATCCTATTTGGATGCCTTTTATTTCTTTCTCTTGTCTGATTGCTCTGTCCAGGATTTCCAGCACTGTTTTGAATAGCAGTGGTGAGAGAGAGAGCATTATTGTCTTGTTCCAATTTTCAAGGCAATGCATCCAGCTTTTGCTCATTCAGTATGATGTTGGCTGCGGATTTGTCATAGATGACTCATAGTTTTGAAGCAGGCTCCTTCAATGCCTAGTTTGGTGAGTGTTTCTAACATGAAGGGAAGTTTAATTTTATCAAAATCCCCTTCTGTATCTTTTGAGATACAAATGAGAATTTTATTTTCGGTTCTGTTTCTGTGACAGATCACATTTATTGGTTTGCATTTGTCGAAACAAACTTGTATCCCAGGAATAAAGTCTATTTGATCATGGTGATTAACTTTTTTATGTGCTGCTGAATTCAGTTTGCTAGTATTTTGTTGAGAATTTTTGCATCTACTTTCATCAAGTATATTTGCATGAAGTTTTCTTTTTTTGTTGTGTCTCTGCCAGGTTTTGGTATCAGGATGATATTGGCCTCGTAGAATGAGTTAGGGAAGAGTCCCTTTTTCTCCATATTATAGAATAATTTCAGTAGGAATGTTCCCAGACCAAACTGAGGTTCGGGCTGCTATTTCTTGTGGCCCAATAACAAGATGCAGATGAACTAGGGGGGAAGAGAGTTTTTATTTCTGTAACCAGTTACAGGGACAAGGCCTGAAAAATATTGCCGGACCAACTCAAAATTACAGTCTTTCAGAGCTTATATACCTTCTAAGCTATGTGTCTACATCTAAGTGTGCATTCATTTAAAGACATAAGTGATTAACTTCTTTTAATCTATAACTAAGATCTGAGTCCTGAAGACCTTCCTCTGGAGCCTCAGTAAATTTACTTAACTTAGATGGGTCTAGCTGCTGGGGTGATTACCCTTATCTCGTCTCCTGCTAAATCATGGAGGTTTGGGGAGTTCCTTTAGTCCCCAATAAAGCTTGTTTGTGGAGGCCTGCGGAGTTTCTCCATACTCCCAATAAAACTTATTTAATCCTAAACAGGTCCTGTTAAGAATTCCGTCATTATCTTGTCATGCTTTAAGGCCCAGGAAAGGCCTAGGCAAAACTGTTGGTGGGCTTTTGTTACATTCCATCCTGAGTGGTTATTAAAAGCTGATAGGTAAAGCTTTATCGGCTTTTAATAACCACTCAGTCAGTACTGAAACAGTTGTTAGGGAGGTCTGTGTTAGTGAGACCTGGCCTGCCACAGGAATGGTACTAGCTCCTCTTTACATATCTGGTAGAAACTCACTGTGAATCTGTCTGGTTCTGGGCTTTTTCTGGTTGGAAGGCTATTTATTACTGATTCAATTTTGGACCTCATTTTGTATTTGTTCAGGGATCCAATTTCTTCCTGGTTTAGTCTTGAGAGGTTGTATGTGTCAAACAAGTTATCCATTTCTTTCAGGTTTTTTAGTTTGTGTGCATACATACACATGTTCATAATAGTCTCTGCGGGTTTTTGTATTTCTTTGGGGTCAGTGGTAATGTCCTCTTTGAAATTTCCGATTGTGTTTATCTAAATTTTCTCTTTTTTTCTTTATCTAGCTAGCAGTCTATCTGTCTTATTAATTTTTTTCAAAGAACCAACTCCTGCATTCATTAATGTTTTTTATGGTTTTTAGCATCTCAATTTCTTTCAGTTCAGCTCTGATTTTGGATATTTCTTTTCTGATAGCTTTGTGGTTGGTTTGCTCTAGTTTCTCTAGCTCCTCTAGTTGTGATGTTAGGTTGTTAAATTGAGATCTTTCTAAGTTTCTGATGTGGGTGTTTAGTGCTATAAACTTCCCTCTTAACACTGTTTTAGTTGTGTCCCAGAGATTCTAATATATTATATCTTTGTTCTCATTAGTTTCAAATAATTTCTTGATTTCTGCCTTAATTTCATTGTTTACTCCAAAGTCATTCAGGAGCAAGTTGTTTAACTTCATGTAATTATATGGCTTTGAATGATTTTCTTAGTATTAATTTTTATTTTTATTGCACTGTGGTCCGAGAGTGTGGTTTGTGTGATTTTTTAAAATTTGCTGAGGAATGTTTTATGTCTGATCGTGTTGTCAATTTTGAGTATGTGCCATGTGCATGTATAAATATATACACCTACTATGTACCTACAAAAATTAAAAATTAAAAATAGATTCATCGCTGGGATACTACTGTGTTAATTTAGATGTAAGAAGACACTCTGGCTTTTTGAGTTGCCAGAGTGCTTGTGCTGTTTCTTTCTCATATGTGTGGGCTGATTTTTCTTCAATCCTTTCCTTCAAGAAGTTGCTATTCTTTGTTTTGTTGTTGTTGTTGTTGTTATTGTTGGTTTGTTTGTTTGTTTTTCGGAGTCTTGCACTGTCACCCGGGCTGGAATGCAATGACACGATCTCGGCTCACTGCAACCTCCGCCTCCTGGATTCAAGTGATTCTCCTGCCTCAGCCTCCCGAGTAGCTGGGATTACAGGTGCCTGCCACCATGCCCAGGTAATTTTTTGTATTTTTAGTAGAGACGGGGTTTCACTATGTTGGCCAGGCCGGTCTCTAACTCCTAACATCGTGATCCACCTGCTTCAGCCTCCCAGAGTGCTGGGAATACAGGCATGAGCCACTGTGCCCAGCGAGGAATTTTCATTATTATGATTATTTGCTTTTTCTTTTCTTTGACATCCTTGGGGGTTTGGTCATTGTATAAGGTGGGTTCAGTTTACTGGCTTCATTTCTGGTACGTTTTGGTGCAGGCAAGGCTCAGCTCAGCACTCCTGGGCTGTGTGGTCTAACTCTGGAGGGCTGCTGTTGGGCAATGGCACAGTAGGGTGTATGTGCACCCTTGTGCCAGCAAGTGAAGGAAAGGCAAAGTCTACTTGCCTATGTGTGTGCCAGCAAAACAATGAGAGTGTGGCTGTGGGCAAGTGCTTGCTGGCAAAGAGACATAAGGGAGGCTGCAGTGGGGAGAGGGTGCAGTTGGGCTGGTGCCAGTAGGCCAGGGCCACGATGTTGGAGCTCTCCGACAGTCAGGTGTGGTCTTCCTGTGCAGGAGCTATGATGCGGGATCCTGCAGGCACCCCATTTGAGTATTGGAGGCTAAACTGCAAGTAGGCGTGGCCAGGGTGGGGACCCAGGAGAGGTTAGCAGACAGGAGGCGCTCAGGGTGGACTGACTGGTCTCCTGGGCAAGATTGTTCTGCTGTGTTCTGGTTTGACAGTTTCCCTAAGTCTAGAGTGTCCTGAGGAGCATGGCGAGCCTTGGGGAATGGGCGTCCCTGGCAGTACTTGGCTGCAGATGTTCCCACACCAAACCTTCTGGGCTCCACATAGGCTGGAATTCTGCCCAGCCTTAAAAATCTTTAAGCAGTTCTCGCTGCTACCTCAAGTGCCCATGGGGATCATGGGGTCTCCTGCTACCAGGATTCCAGATGTCCGTGGCGAAAGTGAATCACTCCTCACATGTTCAATGCATCCCTTTCCTAGGAGTCTGGGTTCACTTTTTTGTTTTTTGTTTTGTTTTGTTTTGTTTTGTTTTGTTTTGTTTTGAGAATCTGTGTGTTTACATTCCAGATATTATTCTGCAGCTTCCTTTTCTTGTGTTGTCTTTGCCTGGTTCTGGTGTCAGGAAATCATGGCCTCGTACAATGAATTAGAAAGTATTCCCTGACTCTTCTATTTTTTAAGGGGAGAATTTGTGAAGAATTGGTGTTAATTATCCTTTAAACGTTTGGTAGAATTCAACAGTGAAACTACCTGGTCCTGAACTGGCCGACTTCTCTGTGTGTGATTCTCCTGCTTTAGGAGCTGAGTGCTTAGTGGAGGTAACAAAGTGGTCAGTGGTAGTAGCTTCAGCCATTCTTTGGCCATGAAACTACTGCATTACAAGTGAAGGCAAGGCAGATTGGGACCCTAGTATTCTTCGTTGTATCTTTTCCAAGGTAGAACCTCCATCACTTGAATGGGGGCTGGGTAGAAAAGAAAGCCCTCACCTCTCAGCTGCATTTACCTGAAACTTAGCCTCGACAACAGGAAGTTAGGGGCAGGGTAAGAAATTCTGACCTTATGATCCCCTAAGAAAGATAGCACTCCCACTGGGAGTCAGGTAAAAGGGAATGTTGTGTTCTTGGCTGCTCTCATGTGTAACGGAGTTGTAGTCTTGCTGACCTGGGAGGAGAAAGGAAGGCACAGGTCTTCATACGAATACCACAGACTCTCGCTCTTTTTGTAGAATTTTAGTAGATTTTCTTGAACAAGTATATCTTCATTTGCTAGATGCTCTAAGATCATTTTCTGACGCTTTAAATGGCTGTTTTTAAATTAATATTTACCAGTTTTGCAAGGGATTACATCCATGGAACTCCTCAGATGTCATGCTGGAAGTCAGTTTTTACACTATGATTTGAATATAAAAGAATATAAAATCAGAGTTTATTGGCTAGGACAGTTGTTTTTTTATAGCCTGGAGCTTAGTGTGTGAGACTTCCACAGATTGTGAAGGGGCTTGTATGTCACACTGGGAAATTTTAAAATTATCCTTTAAGAAATGCAGCACCCATGTACTATCTAAGAATCTGAGTGATATGACCAGATTTGGGGTTTTAAAGAATAGTTCCAGAAGCTGTATGGAAGGGAAATTCAACTAAGCTAAGCCCAGATATTAAATGATTCAAGACCTTAAAACATGACTTGAAGAGTAAGAATAGATAGAGAATGAATTCAAGGGAAATATAAGAGATAGAAAGTTGAGAAATTATTGATTGGATATAGATATTGACTAGCAGAAAAGTAAAAATTTGATAATGGAACAATATTTTGTAGCTAATGTCTGATTTCAATGCTAGTGGAATACATAAGGAGAGAAACAAACTCGAAGCAGAATGTAATTACTATGGTTTTGAAGATATTGTTTTGATGTGGCTGTAGGACATCCTGTTGAAGATGCTTAGCAGGCAGCTAGAAGTATGGCTCTTGAGGTATGAGAGCATTTGAACTTGGAGATAGAAAGGTGAGAGGCATGATAAAATATGCAATATTTGAAGTCACTGGAACAGATATTACCCAAGAAGATCACATAGAAGAGGAAGAAGATAACAGCTCCATGGGTGAAATTCTGTCACAATATACTTTCAATGATATGATTGGAAGAAGAGAAGCCAGAAAATTCTACTGGAAGAAGATAACAAAACTGAATAGAGTAAGATAACAGCATTGCAGAACAATTGCCTGACAGAGTTTCAAGAAGGAAAGTATGGTCAGCCTTTCTATACCAAATTCGAAAATTCAGTGGGTTTTTATATCTCCTTCTCTAAGATGATTATTCATGTAGGGTCCTAGAGAACCTCCAACTGAGGTAAATATAAATAAGAGGAACATTCTTGACAGGAAGTATGTCCATATAATTTAAAGAAACACTATCTGACAAAAAACTGCTTATATATAATGTAAAGAAACACTATCTGACAAAAACTGTGAATATATTTGCATCTGTTTGCCACCTGCAACTATGTGTTTAAATGTTTCTCAGGCTCCCAGATGTTTAGGAAGCGATATCTGTCAAACATATGAAATTGAACATCCCATTCTCATTTTAAAAATATCATTTTACATAGTAATTTTCATACTAAGACACTGCATTTCCTTCCCATGAAGAGTACAACTAACGCTAATGGTTGAATTACAGTCCAAGACAGTATGTTGTAATGCCATTTATAACTGGTGCTCTACAATCATACCTCACAAGATAAACAGTTCTTAAATGAGTTCAGATGTTTACTACAATGCAACACGAGTTTTAAATGACTAAGTTGAGATATTTTATTTTGGAAGAATAAGAACTCTTAGTTACCAGTGGAGTGGGAAATTCTGTCAACAATAATGCTTAGAGAAGACAAACAAGTAGAATATTTAAAGATAAATCAAAAGAACACTGTTTTATTCCTGTGTTATGTTTAGGTTATGTCTCCCAAGGGTCATCTAGGTTGTCAACCTATGTGGATGGTATTAATCAGATACCTGAAAAATTCTTCCCTTATGTTTCCTAATTTAGCTATAAACTTAATGTTAACCAAAATAAATAAATTTTATTTTTATTGAAGGCTTTTACTCTATTCATTTAGTGAATACAGCTACCTGCCTTTGATGTAAGATATAAAAATGGTTATCTTGCCATCGTTGAAGACTTTCAAATCTACAGTCTGAAGCAAAGCAGAAACTGATTCAGATTTACCAGAACTTATAAAATTGACAAAAAGCTACACAGATATATCAGTTTTATTTTTAACTGACATGTATTTATGACATTGTACAAGAACCACTCAATGATATAAATATGCTGCCTATGATATCCATATCTG
Source organism: Homo sapiens (assembly GCF_000001405.40). Taxonomy (NCBI): domain Eukaryota; kingdom Metazoa; phylum Chordata; class Mammalia; order Primates; family Hominidae; genus Homo; species Homo sapiens. The sequence continues at coordinate 92,304,494 of NC_000023.11, forward strand.
TGTTAGATATGGTCTTTTATGACTGGTATAATTCAAAGTAAAATAGACAATATTGTATAAGAAAAACACTAGTCTTAGGATAATATATTGTTGGAGCTGGGGGAATCCTTAGGGAATATCTAGCTTGCCTTCCCACTCTTATTCTTCAGAGGATGAAAATGAGATTCAGGGACATTAAGTAATATTCCCTGGCTCAGAAAATATCTTATTGTCTAAAACTAGGTTGCCATCCTTATGTTCTAAACTCTTTCTAGCCTATCCAATATTCTTTCCACTGTACTACACTACTCTTTATGTTAAAAATCATAATAAACTTTGCTCGAAGAGCAGTAAAATAAAACTGTTACTTTGACTGATTCCTCTAGTGAATTTGAGATGAAAATATGATGATATTGAATTGAAATAAACTTAGAAAAATGACAGCTTCCCAGCCCTCTTAAGTTAGCCATGATTGCAATGAATATAATCTTGCAGCCATTTTTTTTTTGCTGTATCCCAAGAGATAATCTAGGAAATTGGAATATTTGAAAGCAATCTGTTACACTCACATCTGTCTACCCACAGCCAATTGAATACAATTTTTCTTGTTGATTTACTATATTTTACTAAGACTGCACTTAGCACCAGATTATGTCAGATATTCAGAAAAACTTCCTAACAAAATTCTAAAATTATTGATAGTCATGCCACACATAGACACAGCCTAAAAGCTGTTGTACTAGTCTACAAGGACTGCCATAACAGTTATGAGAATTACCACATATGGGTAACAAAGTTACCACAGATGGGGTAACTTAAATGATAGGAATTTATTTTCTTCCTGTTTCAGAAAGTGCAAGACAAGATCAAGGTGCCATTAAGTTTGGTTTCTGGTGAGGCCTTTCTTCCTGGCTTGCTGATGTCCACCGTCTTGCTGTGTGCTCACATGGCCTCTTCTCTGTGTGCATGCAGAGTGAGAGATATCTGGTGTCTCTTCCTCAGTCGTATCGAATTTGGACTTCCTCTTCTTATAAAGACACCAGTCCTATCAAATTAGGACCCCACCTTTATGATTCCATTTAACCTTAATTACCTTCCTAAAGGCCCTATTTGCAAGTCACATTGGGGGTTGGGGCTTCAAAGTATGAATTTGGGTTGGGGGGATCTATTCAGTTTATAACACCTGTTAAGCATATACATTTGATGTTACTTCATCACATCTTTTCACAAACTTTTAAAGTGGAATCTACCTAGAGGAAGCTGGCATATGCATATGTGTTACGAATACAGTAAATTATGATTGAATGACAGAGGTACATTCAAACTAGCCACCACCCTTACATTTCTTACTATTTTGCTGCACTTATCCAGAGCAAAATTTAACTAACATAAAAGAATAAACATCTTTTTTCTCTGAAAACTGTTGAACCAAATGTACAATGGGTGACAATGGCAGTGAACAGGTTTTGTGTTTTTTTAAAAAATAGGAGAATACACATTTTTCTCAAGTACACTTAGAACACTCTCCAGAATTGACCATATGACAGCCATAAAACAAGTCAATAATCTTAAATGGCTAAAATTATACAAAGTATCCTTTTCAATCACAATTGAATGAAACTAGAAATCAACGATAGAAGGAAAATCCAAAATATGTGGAAATTTCTTAAACAACCAATAGGTCAAGGAAGAAGTTGCAAGGGAAAATATAAAATATCTTGAAACAAATAAAAATAAAACAATTTACCAAAACTTGTAGGATGCATTGAAAGCAGGAAAATTTATAGCTATAAACAATTACATTAAAAAGAAAAATAATCTCAAATCAACAACCTAGCTTTACATCATAAAGAATTAGAGAAAGAACAAACTAAACCCAAAGTGAACAGAAGGAAAGAAATAATAAAGACTAGAGCAGAAGTAAGTAAAATAGAGAATAGAAAAACAATAGAGACTATCCATGAGATTAAGAATTGTTTCTTTAAAAAGATCAACAAAATTGACAAGAATTTCACTAAATTTATGAAGAAAAAAAAGAAAAGACTAATATTTAATTAATATCAGAAATGAAAGATGAGAAATATCAAGAATGAAAGAGAGAGATAGGAAGGAACCAAATAGCACTATAATTGTAAAGAGATTGAATCAGTAATAATAATAATAATTAAAAAAAAAAAAACAACTCTTGACCAGGCGCCGTGGTTCACACCTGTAATCCCAGCACTTTGGGAGGCCAAGGTGGGCAGATCACAAGGTCAGGAGTTCAAGACCAGCCTGGCCACCATGGTGAAACCCCGTCTCTACTAAAAATACACACACACACACAAATTAGCCGAGCGTGGTCGTGCGTGCCTGTAATCCCAGCTACTCTGGAGGCTAAGGCAGTAGAATTGCTTAAACCTGGAAGGTGGAGGTTGCAGTGAGCCAAGATCGTGCCACTGCACTCCAGCCTGGGCAACAGAGCAAGAATCCATTGGGAGGGGAAGGGGAACAAAAAATAAAAAACTCTTAACAAAGAAAAGCTCAGGACCAGATGTGTTTACTGGTGAATTCTACAAAACATTTAAAGAAAAGTTAACATCAATCCCCTTCAAATTCTTCCAAAAAATTATAGAAAAGGAAATACTTACCAACTCATTCTGTAAGGTCAGTGTGATCCTGATACCAAAGTCAGAAAAAGACACTGAGGAAAGAAAACTACAGACCAATACTGCTGATGAATATTGATGAAAAGTTCTCAACAAACATTAGCAAACCAAATTCAGCCACATATTTAAGGGATTATATACCATGACCCAGTGAGATTTATTTCTGGAATACAAGGATGTTTCAGTGTATTAAAATCAAACAATGTAATACACTACATTAACAGAATGAAGGAAAAAAATTATCATCTCAATGTACAAAAAACACTTTCAAAATTCAACATCCCCTTTTATGATAAAAAATAAGCAACAACCTAGAATAGAAGGAAATTATCTCAACATAATAAAAACTACATATAAAAAACCCACAGCTAACATAATATGAAAGTCTGTAAGCTTTACCTCTAAGATCAGGAACAGGAATAGGGTGTCTGCTATCATTCCTTCTATTTAACATTGTAATGGAATGGATTTGAAAGAAAGACATTAAGTTGTCTTATATGCATTATGGCCTGATTTTGTAAATACAAAACCCTAAAGATTCTACAAAAACATTCTTAGAACTAAAAATGTGTTAAATCATTTTCTCCATTTGCATGAAGGTCTCATGGCAATCATAACAATTATTTAAGTGCCTCAAGTTGTGAAAGTTCTACAAAATTCTTAGAACTAAAAATCAGTGTAATACATTACAAGTAAAGTTGGAGGACATAAAATTAACATAATTAGTTATATTTCTATACATTAAAAATGAGCACACAAAAATATTTGAGAAAGCAATACCATTTAAAATATCCTCAAACAGATTAAAATACTGAGGAATAAATTTAACTGAGGAGGTGAACGACTTGTAGACTATAAACTACAAAATATTGCTGAAAGAAATTAGACACCAATAAATGGAAAGATATACTGTGTTTATGAACTGAGTGACTTAGTGTTATTAAGAAGTCAATACCCCCCAAAGCTGTCTACATATTCAGTGCAACCCCTATCAATCCCAATAATACTTTTTGCAAAACTAGAAAAATACATCCTAAGAATGATATGGAATCTCAAGGGACCTTGAATAGCTAATACAGTCTTAAAAAAGAACGAAGTGGGAGGCCTAACACTTTCTGATTTCATAACTTACTACAAAGCCATAGTGATCAAAACAGTGTGGGTGCTGGTATGAATACAGGTATATAGACCGATGGAATAGAATAGAAATCCCAGTAATAAACTATCATGTATATGGTTAAATGATTTTCGCCAAGAGTACCAAGACTTTTGAATAGGGAAAAGACAGTCTATTTAACAAGTGGTGTTAGAAATCTGGATATGCACATGCAAAATAATGAAGTGAGACTCTTACCTTATGCCATATACAAAAATTAATTCAAAATGAATCAATGACCTTAACCATAAGGGGTAATATATAAAAATGTTAGAAGAAAACATAGGGGAAAAGCTTCATTACATTAGATTTGATAATGATTTCTTGGATATGGAATCAAAAGCACAGGTAACAAAAATAATACATTAAAATTAAACAAACACTTTTGTGCATCAAAGGACACTGTCGACAGGGTGAAAAAGCAACCCACAGAATTAGAGAAAGTATTTGCAAACCATATATCTCATAAGGAGTTGATATCCAGAATAGCTAAAGTATTCCTACAACAACAACAACAAAACTAAACACTCAGATTAAGAAATGGACAAAGGACTTGAATAAGTTCTCCAAAGATAATATATAAATTGCTAATAAGCATATTAAGAGATATTCAATATCACTAATTATTAGAAAAATACAAATTAAAACCACAACAAGAAACCACTTCTCACCGATTCGAAAGGCTATTACTAAAAAAAGAAAAGGAAATACCAAGTGTTGGTGAAGATGTGGAGATAATGGAAGCCTTGTGCATTGTTGGTTGGAATGTAAAATAGTGCAGCTGTTGTGAAACTGAGATAATGAATGGTTCTTCAAGTAATTAAACAGAACTGACATATGATCCAACACATCCACTTCTGGGTATAAATGCTACAGAATTGAAAGCAGCATCTTGAACAGATATTTGTATATCCATATTTATAGCAACATTTTCATAACAGCAAAGAGATGGAAGAAATATATGTGTCTATTGATGGATAAACAGATAAGCAAAGTGTGGTATATACATATACAGTAGAATATCAGTCAGCTTTAAAAAATGAGGGAAATTCTGCAATATGCTACAACATGAATGAACCCTGAAATCATTATGCTAAGTGAATTAAACCATTCACAAAAGGACGAATACTGGATGATTCCACGTTGTCCACCTAAAGAGGTGCCTAGATTAGTCATATTCCTAGAAATAGAAAGTAAGATGGTTGTTGCCAGGGGCTGGAGGGAAGGAAAGAGTGAGGAATTATTGTTTAATGGCTTTGGGGGTTTTGTTTGGAAAGATAAAAATTCTGGAGATGGATGGTGATGACAGTTTCACAACAATGTGCATGTACTTAATGCTACTGAAGTGTACACTTAAAATGGGTTAAAATTGTAAATTTTATGTTATATTTTTTCACAATGAAAGAAACAAATTTACAACAAAACAAACTCAGACCTGTAACTTCTACCAATTCTAAAATTAAATGGGATTTTCCCTCCACTGAGGAAACAAAGGAAATCACTTTCTAGTGGTGCATCTCTCACTGCCGGAGACATTTCCCCCAAGCCAGTGATAGCAGGGACAAGAGACAACTACCTGTATAGCAGTAATTTTCTATTTAATACTGATCTAGATTTGCTGTATGCTGCTTTTCAAACATCTCTTCCTTGTTGGTATAGAATGACACTTTTACAATTGCATTATTAATTTTTTAAGGAAAAGAAAAGTTTGGTTCAATTTCCAGATACTCTAGTTTCTATTTCCTTCAGTTTAACCATCGTTCTTGTTTTCTTACTCGGGTTTTTTTGCTCTGTTTTTCACCACCTGCTTCACTCTGTTGCTGTTTTTGTTATGCCTTTGTTTCCTATGTACTACTCTCTTCAACTTTCCTTTATTACCTGATTCTAAACAATTTTCTCCACCGTGTCCGGTATTCGCTCATGTTTTGCTTTTCTGTTCTGGTTGAAATGCAGACCAGTAAAGAGATCAGGCTGAAAATTTATGTTTAATTAAATTTGGGAATAGAACTTTTAATTTTGTCAACATCACCGCATTCTAAAATCTTTTTCTTTTGGAAACATGTGCCCCTACTTAGTCTTCTTTGTGTTAACATCATGTTTTTTCTAAATGGTAATTTACTTGTTTATTTATTGTATTTTATTTTATTTTTGAGATGGAGTTTTGCTCTGTTGCCCAGGCTCGACTCACTGCAACCTCAGCCTCCCAGGTTCAATTGATTCTCCTGCCTTATCCTCCTAAGTAGCTGGGATTACAGGTGCCCCCCACCACATTGGGCTAATTTTTATATTTTTAGTAGAGATGGGGTTTCACCATGTTAGCCAGTCTGGTCTCGAACTCCTGACCTCAAGTGATCTGCAAGCCTTGACCTCCCAAAGTGCTGGGATTACAGGCTTGAGCCACCCCACTGGCCTCTAAATGGTAATTTTAAAATATTTATTCCATTCATTCTCAGGTATGAGTGAAAAGCAAAAATGATGAGGATAAGTGTTATCTCCTCAAGAGCATATGAACTCTCTTCCAGTAAAACACTTTTACAAAATTTTGAGAAATAGTTAAAATGTAGATTTCGTTTTCGTAAATGTAGCGCATTGTAGATTTTATTTGTAAGTCCTAGTTCACCTGAAACTCTGAGTAAAATAACCTGAGCAGTTTGATATATAATAAGACATTAGATCAATGAGTTAGTCAAATAATGAATTTCTCAGGCTTTGAGTTTTCCGAGTAACCCAAATGATTTTATGTACAGTGACTTTGACCTCAACTAAATTTCCAGTTTATCTAATTTCTATTAGATGAGAAACGGATGGAGAATAACTTTGATATATAAAACATTTAAGAACAATAGAAATGTAAAATGAGGATGATACCAATCGTTCGATGATTTATAAAGTAGGAAATAATGCATAAAACTCACCTCATACATAAAAGACACTCAGTTATGGTAGACTGTTTTCTGCTTTCAAGTCAGTTTTATTTTTCACCTTGAATCCATTTTGACATAGAGTCAGCCTTATAAAACTGGAAGTGTTCTGCACTAGTTAATTGTCAGTGTTAGATTCTAAGTGGTAAATATTTGCTTTTAATATTTCTTCTCTTTTTTATGATAACTTTGTAATCTTAGTTGATGTGCCATCACCACAGGTAATTATTATTTGTATATTTAGTTCTTCAAATAAAAGAGAGAAAAAAGCCCCCCAAAACCCAAGTAGTCAAATATATCAGATTGACATTGTTCAGTTAAAATGAGAAGCCACCACATTTGGCAATTGAAAGTTAATTCTCAAAGAATGAAATATAATTAAATGTTTGCTTGAGAAGCCACCACATTTGGCAATTGAAAGTTAATTCTCAAAGAATGAAATATAATTAAATGTTTGCTTTTTTTTTTTCCACAGTAGCTCACAGGACTTATCTTCCCTCACTACTAGTGCTTACTTCATGTACTCCAGAAAGTAAGCAATTACAGTGTGTGTGCTACAAATTTGTCCGTGATATTCAGTTTTATAATTTTAACATGGGACATTCTATGATTTTATATTAAATGGAAATAAAAAGATACTGTCCTTTTTCCTCTTTGTTTATTACAATACAGATAAAATGGAATATATGATAAGGAAGCAGTAGGATATTAAGTTTTTTTAATAGAAGAGGATAGTTTCTATGACTTTTTAGAAAAGAAAAGAAACATTAGTTACTATTTTTGAGAGAATAGGGTAAGAAAAAGATGATCTTTTGAAAATTAAGTATATGTATTCTGTAGAGTAAATAAGCATTGTTAGATACACTGTTGGTTTAAAATTATTTAGCATAACCAAATTTGGCATCATTGCAGTGCCAAAGAATGCCCTGGCCAGACGTGTCTATGCATTGACTTTTTCCATTGGTGGTAATGAAACTGTTCCATGATAAATTAATTTTTCTATTTTATTTTTCTTTCACAAAACATAGTTGATTACCTTTTAAAAATGATACAGTGGAATAATTATAGCCTTTAGATAACTTGTAGGGCAAAATAGGAAATTTGAGAGACACTTAATATCACTGTAAAATAAGTTCAAGGAGGGATTTAGTATGTAGTATGAAAAAAATTTATTAGCATATGTGTTCCTTATTTAATTAAATAGATTTATTTCGGTGCCACATTCTTTCAAATTTATCAAAATGTAATAATACGATTTTTATATTAACTTACATGTTAAAGTAAGAGATTGGTTCCCGTGGGAAAAAGGTTTTGACTAATGTACTACTCAGATTAATAATATCACTGACGTAAATACTCCATTATTTTCATAAATATTACTACACAAGAACACATGCAAAAAGGACAAGTACCTATCTAAAATTGTTTTCCAATTGTAGAAATGGCAAGCATTTACTAAAACCTTAGAAATTTGAATGCGTTTTTATTTTTACCAGCCACAAATCATTTTTACAGTTTTAAATTTATATTCAAGTGAATGCTGTTTGAAAAGTGTCATTTTCCACTGTTTCAACTTACTATTTTATTTTCGATCATTTTCCCTACTAGCACGAGTTCTTTTTTTAAACTATGTACCCTGAATGAGAAGAATTAACCAGGATACACGGAAGGCCTAAAATAACTAACTCCTGTTCAGGAATAGAGGCTTGCCCAGTGTGTTTTGGGGTCATGTAGACACTTAGTCTAGTACCTGAAACTATTAATAATAATTTAATTGCTTGATTTCCCTGATGCTCTTATTTCCTATAAAATAGTCTCTTCATTAATGGCTAGATTATTATGTATTAACAATTGCCCATGTTTTCCTAGTAACAGGAGCTTTTTCATTAGTCCTAATCTGAGAAGAGCAAAGCAGTCTCAGTGACAATAGTAAAAAGCAGGGATAAAGATGACATTTCTTCAGTCTGTAATTCCACAAAATGTGTACATTTTTTTTTTCTGTAAGAAAGAAGGCAGCTAACTTTTATTAAGTCCCCACTATGTAACAGGGACATTGCAATGTACTATACCTGAAGGTAGGTATTTTTAACTTTGTCTGCAGATGATAACACAGAGCCTTAGAGAAAATAGGTAACTGGGCAAAAGTCACACAGTTAGTCAATGACTGATAGAGAAGACAAACCTACATCTGGCCAAATACCTATACTCTTTCCATCATTATACACTTCCTTCACATTAAAGAAAAGATACAATTTGTTTCTTGTGGTCCTTACATTTGAATATCTTCTATGTAATTTTTTCTTGAACAAATTATAACTGTAAAATTTTCATGTAAATTGTACTGACACACGCCCAGTAGTGTTTGTTGTGCAGGTTTATTAAGTACAGTCATGTGTCATTTAATGATGGAGATACTTTCTGAGCAACGCATTGTTAGGTGATTTCCTTGTTATGAGAACATCATAGAATGTCCTTACACAAATCTGGAAGGTATAGCTTACTACACACCTAAGCTGTATTATATAGCCTAATGTTCTTTGGTTACAAATCTGTACAGCATGTTAATGTATATATTTGTAACCTGTAGACACATATAATATGATGGTAAGTATTTATATATCTAAGCCTAGAAAAAGTACAGTAAAAATACGGTATAAAAAGGAAGAAATGGTACACTCATATAGGGCAATTACCATGAATGAGCTTGCAGGCCTGGAAGTTGCTCTGGGTGAGTGAGTGATGAACGAATGTGAAGGCCTAGGACACTACTGTACACTACTGTAGACTTTATCAACACTGTACACTTAGGATACACTAAATCGAAGGAAGTCTATTTTTCTTTCTTCAATAATAAATGAACCTTAGCCTATTGTAAATTTTTTACTTTATACATTTTGTAATTTTTAAATATTTTGAACTCTTTTGTAATAACACTTAGTTTAAAACACAAAGATATCGTACAGGGGCACAAAAATATTTTATTTCTTTTTATTCTCATTCTATAGACTTTTTCTGTTTTTAACATTTTGATTTTTTAAACTGTTTTGTTAAAAAATAAAACACAAACACATATGTTCAGCTAGGCCTACACCCAGTCAGGATCATCAATATCACATCTTGTCTCACTGGAAGATCTTCAGAGGCAATAGTATGCATGAAGCTGTCATCTCTTATGATAACAATGCCGTCTTCTGAAACACCTCCTGAAGGACATGCCTGAGACTCTTCTACAACTAATTTCTTTTCCAAAGTAGGAGTACACTCTAAAATAATGATAAAAATTGTAATATAGTAAATACATAAACTAGTAACATAATTGTTAATTATTATTATCAAGTCTTATGTACTGTACATAATTGTATATGCTATGCTTTTATATGACTGGCAGTGCAATAGGTTTGTTGACACCAGCATCACCACAAACACGAGTAATGCATTGCACTACAACATTATGATGGCTACGAAGTCACTAGGCAGTAAGAATTTTTCAGCTCCATTATAATCTTATGGAACCACAGTCATATATGTAATCTGTCGCTGACCAAAACATTGAGCGGCACAGGGCTGCATATCAACATAGAGCACTGGATTGTTTTTTGCAAGTTTTGTGGGATATCTAAAACATTGATATACAGGATCAAGGTTAATAACATAAATAGGTCAGTAAGATTGTTTTCTAGTCTGTGAAGATTTAAAAGTACAATGTTTGAAGACCAGATGAAGTTAATATTACTATGCAAGCCTCTACAGGTTTGGATTTCAATATGTTTAAATTTGAACGCTTAACAATATGTTATGATTTGAGTTTCCATTTCATTTATTTCCCTTTCAAGTTCTAGCATGAATTTTAAGAATCTTCATCAATGTCCCTGTGAAGTAAATGCCACAAGAAAAGTGCAATCAATATGTGCACCTCCCAGAGGGCCCTAAGCAAGTTGAAACACTAAACAACTTTCAAATCTTTAAACTTTTACAGATGCTCATAGACGCACTGTAATATTAGCCACATACTCTATGTCTTATTAAGATATTCTGTAACATGTGCTATTTACTCCTGCCAGATCTATATAGCATAAAGTGCACTGGAGGATTGGCATCTATCCATTAAATTTTAATCAACACAGAGACAGTTTAGATATTTAAAACCTTCTTTTATTTACAGCTGGTTTTTAAAATTATTGTTGTTTCTTTTGTTTGCTAGCTAGATTGCTTGCTTGCTTATTTATTGACTGGAGCCATGTGAATAATTTTGGAAGTCCCATCTCACTTCTCTGGCCTCAGAAAAGTGACCTTAAACCATAACATCCTTGATAGAAATGATAGAAATGATCAAATTATTTAAGTTTTTTTTGTTTTGGAGACAGAATCTCACTCCTTCACCCAAGCTGGAGTGCAGTGATCCAATCACAGCTTACCATAGCCTTGATCTCCTGTGCTCAAACGATCCTCAACATCATCCTCTTGAATAGCTGAGACTACAGGTGTATGCCATGATGCTGGGCTGATTTCTGTATTTTATGTAGAGATGGGGTCCCACCATGTTGCCCAGGCTGGTCCTGAACTCTTGGGCTCAAGGGATCTGCCCTCCTTGGCCTCCCAAAGTGCTGGGATTACAGGGGTGAGCCACCACCCCTGGCCTGAATTATTTAATCTTAGAGCATTGTTCTTCACTTATTGCGGCTGTATGTTTTTAACTGAAACCATATGAAGAGTTGGGAAATTACTCAATTAATACAAGTATAATGACCAAAACAAGAATATATTTCATTTTTATATTTTTATTCAGATGGACTTGGCAAATGAATTCAACATGAATATTACATTAATAGAACAAATTATCAGTGCTCTTCTGAAGTCAAGGCAAGTATTCAACCCCATATGCTTTAACCATCACATTTTCTGAACAATCTTTGTGCCGGCAATTGTGCTAGATGTACAATTGTGCTAGAAGCAGGTCATGGTGGCTTGCTTTAGGTGAACTCACAGTTTAGTGTAGGAGAAAGGCAAATAAATTATACATTATAAAACAATATATTTAATGTTTTGCCTAGAATTTGCCAAATGCTAGGCAAATAATATTGTAGAAATAACTGTCTGGGAAAACCGTGAAAGCATAAAATCGCATAAGATGCTGAGAAATGTAGTGATCTCTCTAAACAGACCAGTGAATGCTGCATTTGATTTATTAAACAGTTCGTCAAAACTTATTTTTCAAAAGGAGTTCCCCAATTAGCATCTTCTTTATATCCAAGATGATATAAAATATGATGTATTATTTATCTCTTCTTAAAATAATTGGACACTTTTTTCATAAAAGACATTATCTGTGATTATTTATCCAATAATTAATTCAGTTTAGAAATTTAATTAAACATTAGGAATTTTTAGTGTCATTTTGAAAGACCCTATTATGAAATTATGAAAACAGTAAGGTCAGGAAATGTTTTCTGTTATTGACCTTATGTTATTTGTTTATTTAATTTAGAACTCTTTACAAATAACTTACTGGGGTCAAAACTGCTCTGACACTGGTATCAGAAACACTTTTGAGAAAAGTGAATTTACTTTGTATTTCAAGTTCAAAGGGATTTAGATTTGGTAGATTTTGGAAACTTCTCGCCCTGCATCTGCTAAAAACCAAGCAACTTCCTTTCTGAATTTTTAATCTCATAATGCCCCTGTAGTCATTAAAGAACCAATGCATGATAGACATTTATTCACTGTGCCTTTCTACATTGAAAAGCTGAATTAAGGTCTCCAGAGCCAAAATGGAATTAAAATATTTATGTCTTAAAGACAGCCAAACACGTACTTTCAAAAAAAATTGCGGTCAAGGGGGAAAAAAACAGAAAGTAATTTGTAAAACTGTTCGTTTTTAAACTTTGGAGTTAGAGAGTGGAAATATGATGCGGACAAGAGTGAAGAAATGTTAACTAAAAAGAATGTGTTATAGCTTGTGAAATTGTCCCCTCCCACCCCCCCATCCCTGCTTGGAGTAACATTTGCATTCAATTTGAATGAAGACATACTGATAGACCAAAATAGTTTGATTTGTCTTTAGAGAGTCCTTCTTCATCCTCTCTTTATCTATAATATGTGTTTCCACATTCCTTCTCCAAATTTCTTCATTATTCTACCAGTTTCTTTAAGGAGTCCCAAAACTGTAGGCTAGACAAATATGAACCTTTCTGTTTGTTAAAATAATGCTTCTTTGAATAATTATTTTTAATCTCTTTCTCTATCTTTCTCTCTTTTTGTAATGCTGCTTCTCAATGCACATTGTATTTTAAAATCAGTACAGAGTCATAAACTTGACAACAATTGTTGATAATACTTTCCAGTGGTACGTACAATATCTCAACTATTTCTCAGTTGGAATGATTGGGTACAAATGTGGGGAATAAATCTATAGCATATTTTGAACCAAGATTTAAAATTCATAGCAAATCTAAGCAGTTCTAACAGATTTTTTTCGGTCATTAATATTTAAGTGTAAAAAGCAATTTAGTGTAATAGACAAGCTCACAGATTTGGAGTTATACATACTTGAGGTTAGATCCTGGATATCACATTTATTAACTGTTTGAAATTTAGCAAGTTACATAACTTCTCTAAAACTCAATTTACCAAACTAGAAATGAGAAGAATAATAATTACCTTCTCAGATTACTGTTAGCATTCAGTATAATGTTAGACTTAAAAGACCTCAACATACAGTAATTTTTATTAAATGTTAGTTATTGTTATTAGTAGTACTGATAGTAGAAGTAGTAACAATAGTAGTAGTAATAGTAATGTAATATCTAAAAATGTAAGATTATCATTTACTTATTTTTGTTGTTTCTTAGCTTCTTTTATCTTTAATTGTATAATATTCTAATGCCATATTTATTTGTTCCTAAAAAAAATTTAAGTCAAATCAAATTTGCACCACAATTACCATGGAAAAAATACCTCTTTGAATAAATTCATTCTATCAAAATACACTATCTGGATGAAAGTGTTTTCCTTATATTTTTATTGCCTACCTACATTTCAAAATTACTCTGTTTTTATCCTCTGATTTGGGATTTGCCACATTCCTGAGACTTCCATATTTTGTAGCTAAACTTGATTTTTGCCATGCTTTTCTACAGTGTCAACCAGAAAAGTCTTGCCTGTACAATCCAGCAATCAAAACTCACTTGCAAACACAAAGACAAAAATAGAAATAGTCAGTAGGAAGCAGTTTTTCCCTCAAATTTTTTCTCTCTGTGATTGCACAGCAAAGCTCAGACTTTTTTTTTGAAATACAGATACTGGGTAGTTGAGATTTGTGATTAAAAAAAATACAGGCCACAACTGCATAAACCCTTTGTTTCTCTTATGAGATATTTTTTACTCTTGCACTGGTGTGAGGTCAGTGCTTGACATCATCTCCATGGATGTAGGACAGCACCATTATTATTTCAAAGCACCTTAGCCTGGGAATAGATTTGTTTCATGTCTGATTACATAAAATCTCAATAACTGTTTCACTGTCTTTCTAATCATAGGAAAATTGGCTTGTCTAGAACAAAATTAAAAGAATACCATCCAAGGTAAAGGCAAACAATTCTGTAATTGTCACTTTTGTATCAATCTTACTGATCAATTAGTTAGAGGACTGGGAAGCTGTTAACATCCTTAAAAACCATAAAGGAAATCCATAGTCATTTAGCGATTTCACCAGCATTATAACATGAAAAAGTCTTATTTGTTTAAACTAACTATGACTGTCTTTATATAGCAACTTTTTCTCACAGAATAAAGTACGTATTGTTACTTTATTCAAATAATGTAAATTCTCTCTAAAAATAGTCCAATTTTGCAAGCATTTTGCAAGCAGCCTCATTGCTATATGGGCACAACTGTAAAGTAAACCAAAAGATTTCATTCTCTATCAAAACGTTTTGTGAAAGTAATTAGATATCTTAGATAACCACCTGGATTTTCTTTCCTTTTGTTCATGTTTGGTGAACTTTAAGCAGGGATCCTGATTATCTTTATCTTGAGAGTGGGTAGTGGAATTCATCTTCCTCTATCAATTGGTCATTTATTATATATGTGTGTCCACAGTATATGTCTTGAGACTGTCTTGCAAAATTATTAATTTAATTTTTGATTTTTCAAGATAAACAAAGATCGATACAGGAATACTTTGAACTTAAGGTTTTAGACATTCAGTAAGAGAACAAAAGATAAAATTAAATAATTTGGATTGAATTCTAATACCTGGTCTTCTACTTAATGGGAATGAGACCACGGCCGTAGAATTAAAAGTCTTATATGCCTTCATTGTTTCTTTTTTTGCTTTAATTTTTAGTAGAGACAGGGTCTCACTATGTTGTCCAGGCTGGTCTCAAACTCCTAGGCTTAAGTGATCCTCCGCTTTGGTCCCCCAGATTGCTGGGATTACAGGTGTGAGCCACTGCATCCAGCCTGCCTTCATTATCTTCTATGTGAAATGCAGATAAGCACACCTAACTCAGATAGGATTATCAGGAGAGTGAAATGAGATTTTATATATATAAAGTGCTTACACGTGGCCTGGCATTTCATGAGTACTTGATAGACAGAGCTGCTATTATTATCATCAATGATAAATTAAAATTTATAAATGTAAAATAATACTGATAAGTAGATCAAGATCTTTTCAGTTTGTTTGCTAGTGGACACAGAATTTTCTTTAACATATCACCATTCATTTATAACACTGCTAATCTTACACAGTTTCCTTTATCATTTTGCTGAGCATCATGGTATAATTCTAATCAATGTTCATGTATGTTCAGTAAGTTAATTAAAGCTTCCATGCCCAACCAAAATGCTACCACAGTTAATGGGTTTGGGGTTGATTACCAGAATCCTATATGATATGATATTCTTCTACACATTGAAACAAAGACAATAACATCTCATTCTACCTTGTCTCATACTGCTCAGATTTGTGTACAGTACACAAATGGAGCATGTGTCTGTGGCAATCGGCTAGTGAGAAAAATAAAATATATTAGCAATCATTATAGTAGACAAAAGTTCTAGCTCACATGCCTCTGAGTTTTTCATCTGTTAATAGAATCCTGCTGAAATGTGTATTACCTGTCTCTGCTCCTGTTCTGGAATTTTAGTATAGAAAGGAAGTAGGCAGATCTAACAAATGGACAATGATCTCATGATCTCTCTCTCTCTCTTTCTTTCTCTCTCTCTCTCTCTGTCACACACACACACAAACACATACTTTTTTTCAACTAAATCAATAATATGAAGGATATATGATCCATAAATCACTAGGATTACTGTTACCACTAGCAAATAAATAGTGTCTAAATACAGTTCTAAAAAGTTATTATGATTCATTGCACATAATGAATTATAACAATATTTGAAGATACTGGAATGAAAGGACAAATTTTCCTTACAATCTTGTATACTCACGTTAATTAAAGAACCCACACAATTTATAAATTTAGAAAAGGAGAGGAAGATTTATTTTTATAAGGGGTTACAGCCTGTAAGGGGTCCATCCTGCAGGCTGAGAAGCGTGCCTCCTGCAAAGACCAGAGACAGGCACTTTAAAGAAGAGGGATTGGGGTAGGAGCGTTATGCTGAACAGATTGGCTAAACATACATATTCAACAGGTTACAGGAGGAGCTATGAATATTTATGAAGATCCTGACACATCTATTGAACAAACATGCATGTAACATATGACCCATGTTCACTTTGGGGCGAAGACCTTAACATTTTAATGTATTACAATTGGGACCTACACATGAAAGGGGCTTTTCTGGACATGAAGACATAGAAGCTTACAGCCTCTGTAAAGTTGCCAGAATCAGTCTGTGGTTAGTGGGCTTCTTATCAGGAGAAAGTCCTGAAATCAGTTGTCTTGTACAATCAAAGCTATAGTTATGGCTTGTGGAACAGGAGGTCGGTTAGTCAGTATCTGTGAGCTGAACTGTAAGTTTTTTTTTGTTTTTTTTTTTTTTTTGAGATGGAGTCTCGCTCTGTCGCCCAGGCTGGAGTGCAGTGGCGCAATCTCGGCTCACTGCGAGCTCCGCCACCCTGGTTCACGCCATTCTCCTGCCTCAGCCTCCCGAGTAGCTGGAACTACAGGCGCCTGCCACCATGCCCAGCTAATTTTTTTTTTGTATTTTTAGTAGAGACGGGGTTTCACCATGTTAGCCAGGATGGTCTCAATCTCCTGACCTTGTGATCCACCTGCCTTGGCCTCCCAAAGTGCTGGGATTACAGGCGTGAGCCACCGCGCCCGGCCGTGTAATTGTTTTAATATTGCTTATCTCATGGCCAGTGCTTGTTTAGCTGCTAGAGAAAAATAAAAACCTTGTGGAAGGTTAAAACATAATTTATTCTTTAAGTTTAAGAGTCTTAATTAACCCTTGCCTGCTAAGGCCTTAGATCCTATGGATAATTTGGTATCTTATTACCACAAAGAGTCTCTTCTGTCATCTTATGATCTCAATTTTAACATTAATGCTGGTCAATTGCGTCTACACCCCAAAAGGAAGGAAGTATAATGAGGAGTGACTGACTTCCCATCTCATCATGCCTGAGGACTGTTTTTAAGTTGTTTTTCTGGGGTACCCTTGGCCAAGAGAAGGTCCATTCATTCAGTGGTAATGCTTAACATTTTATTTTTAGTTTATATTAATTTCTCAACCATTATGTTTTCTTGTTTTGATTTTTGACTATATTACATGCAGCTTTCACATAAGTGCACGTAGAGCATACAAAATATTTTCTATTTTTAAAGCTTTTCCAGCAGAAACGTATATACTTTGCTGGTATACAGCCTTTTAAATTATAATTAATGTCTGTCTAACTTTCTGCTGATATTCTCTAATGGCTAATTTACTCCGTAGCCTATTTTAGGAATTTGATCTTACATACTTAACACATGCACACATACACATGTTTACAAGAAACAAAGAGTACTAAATATTCAGTATTACCTTGAATATAACTAACTTGTTCTTAGATAATTACTATAACATTTCCCAGAATTATATGCAATATTCTCCAAATGGACAGGTGACTGAATCAAATATGCATGAGAAAAAGCACAAATAACAACCAAAACAAAATTAACTGATATTGACTCAGTATTTACAATGTACTTTCCATTCCTTATTTTATACAATTCAAAATAATCAGAGAAAAAAGTTATTTTTATCATCAGTTTACAGATGATGAAATTGAAGCTGAAGGGTTGAGTGTATGCAAGGAAAATAGGAAGAAGTGGGCTTAATCGTAGGGACTCGGGTATAGTCTATGGCTTTATGAAGTCTTTATATCTTATTTACTGTAATTTGATCATGTTTCTACTCATCTCAGTACAAACATATATGACATATTTTATAAACAGATAACTCTACAAATATTTCTTGACAAAGATGAGTAGTTACAAGAAGTGTTTCCAAGGTAACAATACTAGTTCAATTGCTATCATAATACTATTATTAATAACGCTCTTATCAACACTCATAAAGTCTATTGCCAGGGGAATATTGTCATTCTAAGGACAAAAGTATGACAGAGACTGAGGAAAATAGCTTGAAAGCAAAGAATGACAGCAACACTGAAATGATGAAGGGGATACTTAATACTGTTTGATTTTAATAAATGCTTTAGCTCTTTTTAAGTGGTATTATGTCCTTTAGATCTGTCAAACAGGTCGTGTTTCCTCTCTCAGGATTCAGATTGTCTAGTCATTGGAACCACAGGGAAAGACCAATAACTTGAAATCGGTAATACATTTACAGCTACTTCCTTTAGTTGCTGAGTAATGACACTATCCTTTCTAGGTTATCTGCTTGCTTAAGCAAGAAACTAACCAATTAACAAGCAAGTGCATTGTAATAAACAAATACTTTATAGAGATTTAATGGGAGAAAGCCTATTTCTTTCTGTTTAATGCCATCACTATGCTTATGTAAACAGAAAATATTAAAGCTGTTGTTTTAAAATGGAAATAAGCTCTTTCTTATATAGAATCAATTAAAAGTATGATATATTATAAAAACTAATCTGAAACACTGTCAGACTGTGATCTTTTTCTCTGCTGTTACACTACTTAGACAGGCTGATATTGATTGAAACTGTTGCAAGACAAGGAAGAGAGGTAACTATAGGAGTTGTCATTTACCTACCACTCTAAGATGAATAAAGAATCAGTAAACCCTCAGATCCATCTTGAATGCTGGCTTTCAGACCTGCCTCTTCACTGGTGACTTGGTGAGCCCGTGTATAGGAGAGTGTTCTGCATTTATCTTGCAATCTACCCCATTTTCCTTGACTTTCAGATACTGGCTTTCTTTTTTTTTAATTTAATTTAATTTTTTTATTATTATACTTTAAGTTTTAGGGTACATGTGCACAATGTGCAGGTTAGTTACATATGTATACATGTGCCATGCTGGTGTGCTGCACCCACAGATACTGGCTTTCTACTATGATTACAACTATGTGCCTCTAGACAAGGGAAGTTATTAATCACTCCCCAAGACCACCTCCCTCTGATACATTTGCAATCATCAGACTCACCAGCTTTTTAACAGTGTCGAATCCATTTCAGTTAAATATCTGGATTTCTCTCTGTTTCAACAATGGGAATGAAATGGGATAACTTTACACAGTTTCAATTTTTTTTCCAGGCTTTAATAACATACTTATTACCAATCCAGGAAAATTAATTCTGTTAAAAATACAATTCAATAAATCAGTGTTCCAGAGAGCAGTTTTAGGTCATGATCTAAGCCTATATAATATATTCTGTATTTCTTTATTAAAATCATCTTAAGAGCAATGATTATGTGGTTCTGCTTTAAGCTGGTGAGTTAAGGTGAGATTGGCATAGGGAGAGACTCTCTTGGCTTATAAATGGTGGAGGCATTACAAAAATCCTCTCATATCCTTTTTTATGATGAGTAGGAGTGTGCTATTTCTAGTACAGTTAGGATTTTGACAAGTTATGCTCAAGTAATTGATGTTTGCCCTACCCTGTTGGCTAGACTGCTCAGGTCATGCTTGAGGCCACCCCAGGAATCATGGTCTTCTGTGTAAACCTGACAACCTGTTGCTGGAAGGCAATAAGTTAATTTGATGGTGTCCAAAGTACTTATAAATCAATTTGGCAATCTCTTTCTTCCACGTCAATAGAGGGAACAATCTGACTTAATAGATCAGATACATTTACCTTCACTTATAGCTTTAGAGTGTCACAGCAATCTGTAGAGTTATTGAGATAACTTGGTGACATCCTTCTAGTTTTCTTCAAATGCCTTCAGGTAACAAGAAGATAGACAATCCTAAATAATGTTTATATAAAATTTATTGCAGAGTTAAGCTCCTAATATAGAAAAGATAGCAATGTAGTACATGATAACACTATTTATCACCATCACTTTGAGTGCCATCATTAAGATACTGCAATTCTTCTCTTAAAAAACTTTTATTTTCAGGGGTACATGTGCAGTTTTGTTATACAGGTAAATTATGTGTCATGAGGGTTTGATGTACAGATTATTTTGTCACTCAGGTAATAAGCATGGTACCCGATAAGCAGTTTTTTTATTTTCATCCTTCTCCCACCAGCCACCCTTAAATGGGCCTCATTGTCTCTTGTCTCTTCTTTGTGTCTATATGTACTCAATGTTTAGCTTTCACTTGTAAATGAGAACATGAGATATTTGGTTTTCTGTTCCTGTGTTAATTCGTTTAGGATAATGGTCTCTAGCTTCATCCTTGTTGCTGCAAAGGACACGATCTCTTTCTTTTTATGGTTGCATGGTAGTCCATGCATTTTCTTATCCAGTCTGCCATTGATAGGCACCTAAGTTGACTCTGTGTTTTTGCTATTGTGAATAGTGCTGCAATGAACATACAACATACTGCAATTACTTGGAACAAAAAGATAACTCGTTGAGAAGGATAGAAACTGAACAATCGACATATTTGGAGATGGTCTTGTACACTCCTAAACTTGGCAACATTCTATGCCCAAGAATTCTAGAAGCAATGACTCTTACCCTTATTCACCTTATATTCTCTGATCTGCAATCATATAAATGAAAACAGGAAGGAAATGATAGAAACAGCCAAAAACTCTTGCTTTTTTCCAGACATTATATATACATTTTAAAAAGAAGTATTATAACTTTAAGTGACAATCAAACATAATATTAAGATAGTCCCTCTACGTGAAATCATTCTAATATCAAGGGAAACAGCAATTTAACAAGTAAATTTTAGGAAATGCAGCGTTCTAATTTAGGTACCAAAACTTATTTTAAATGACATTTTCAGCCAAATGAGAGAAAAAGAAACTCACCATTTTTTTCTCATATTATTCTAATTTCATCCCTGTGCAGTATAGAAGCCAGATTGTCACTGTGCCCTGGGAAGCTTTGCAAATATGGCAAATGCCACAGTCAGCATGACCCTGACTTATACTTTAATAACTCCTTGATTTAGCAGACAAAGCTTTTCTCTGCCTCCAATACACCCCTTAATCTAGCACTTGTCCCCATGCTGTCCCATGGTTGCTCAAAGCCATCTTATGTTAGTTTCATCCATTGTTCCATAATTTTCCTCAGCTCTACTTTCCTATAACAACTAACCTGCTCCTGTTATTTCTCTCTGTAGTCAAGTGTTTCTCAGAGAAATTAATGCCACAGTGCTAATAATTGATGTTACCTGCCATTAACACTATAACCTCTATAGCATGTTATCCCTTTCAGATATCAATTTGTTAAAATAATGAAAGAAACGAGTCCTCTGGTTATTTCTATGTAATGAATCACTCTAAAACTTAGTGGTTTAAAATAACAACAATCATTGTATTATGTCTCACAGTATCTGTGGGTCAAGAATTCAGAAGTAGCTTAGCAGGAAGTTCTGGCTTGTGGTTGCAGTCAAAACAGCAGGTGGCTGAAATGGTTGGAAACTGGCAAGGAAGCATTCTGTTCATGTAGATTTCTGGCCTCTCCATGTGGAGTAGTTTGGGCTTCCTTGCAGCATGGTAGACTCGGGGTAATCAGATTGCTTACAGGGAGGCTGAAAGATCCAAGGATGAACATCCTAGAGAAGCAGGTGAAAGTGTGCAGCATTTTTATGACCTGGCATTGAAATTCAGAGGGTATCATTCTGCTATACTCTGTTAGTTTGGGCAGTCACGAAAGTCCACTGAGATTCAAGGGGAACATGGATATTCAAGGGGAACACAGATTCTATCTACCTTTTGATGGTGGAATGGCAAGGTTCTAGGAGATATGTTTCTAGTCATCTTTGGAAAATGCAATCTGCTAAAATGAGTAATGTGGGCATTTTGTGCCCTTTATTATGTTACTCTCTAGCATATTATTTTCAATTATTTTTAATAAACTATATATATATATATATAGAGAGAGAGAGAGAGAGAGAGAGAAAGAGACAGTGGAAAATAAAATGATAGAACAGTTGATGAAATGCCACTTAGGAATTTTTATTTTCTGTTCCTATTTCTCTCCCTAGGAAGACTACCTAAATGAGTATAAACTTTTAGGTACTTTTGCCATATTTAATGAAGATATTGTTACCCATATAAATATTTGAAGAGTTAGAATCTCTTTAAAAAAGAAAAATTCACAGAAATTATTAGAAATGCCAAAACTTCATCTCATAATTTGCAGATGTAATACAATAAAGAATTATAAAACATTCCAATATGAAGTCTCTCATCAGTCTTCTCAGGTATCTGTGTTAATAATCTGAAAAACTAGAGCATGTATATCCGATATATTGTCAGCTAATAATTGCATGCTTTCAAAGGCCATATCTTAAGGAACTCACTATAGCGTAAAAATAAAGAGATTAATATTAGACCTAAAAGTCTAACATAGTAGGGTCAAACAATGGACTTGAAAGCCCTGGAACGTTTTGAATATTTGAATTACATAAATCGTTTTAAAAACAACTGTAATAAAAAACCTTGTGTTAATCAGTTTTAAGATTTTGCAGTGCTTCATAGCCAAGTCTTGAGATACAAGATTGAATGTGTATTTCTTAAAAATACAACTTTGTGTTGTACTTTGAAATAAATGATGCTTTAAAAAAAAAAAAAGCTTTTGCAGTGCTTGATTACTGCCAAAATCTCTTATTTTTCATGTGCACTTGGGCAGTCTAGTTGATTGCATACTGAGCTGTCCTCTAAAGCTTTAAGGGAATTTATTTTAAAAAGACTCATAAAAAAGGTTTATTCAGACTACCTGCAAGACCCCCATGTGCTTTTTGCTACTTGAGATAATAACATCTATTATGTGAGAAATGATAATTGTCACTCTGAAAAGAAACAATTGATTTCACTGTTTTACTTTGGGTCCTGGAAGCTTTTTATCCTGACTTTTTCAGAATTCAATTATTGAAGAGATCTCTAACTGTCCATACCATATGCACCTGGGATTAGTACAGTTGCTATTTCTGTTCAACATGGATATATCAGCAAAAGCTATTTTGCTTTTTCTTGGGGAAGATTTTCCCCAACAGAAAGATGTTTTCTTTTGAGCAACTAAGGTATTGACAATTAAGATGCAAAAAAAGATTATGCCTGTAAATATTTCTTTCTCAGAAATACAACATATGATTTCTGAGACATAACTTACATGATCTGATCATGGAATGTGTTATTAAAAAATGTCCTGTTTAAAAATTTTTCAGAAAGCCACTTAAAGTAATAATTACTTTTAAAGAAGTACAAGTAATGAAATCATTTGAAATTTCTATTTCTTGTGAAGATTAAGTGTCAGGGAGTGAATTTACCCTTCACCTGAAACAACAAAGAAACCAAACAAAATGTATGAAACAATGGTTCTCAACATATCATACATAAATGTACATGAATAATGATACTTAAGAAATAGAACATAAATGAAACAATAGTTACTATTGCCTTAGCTTATTGCTTGCATATAATTTCTATCCTTTAGCACAGGGAGAGGGAACCCAAATAGGGCATGATTGGGCCCTCGTAGTAAATTCATCTCCTGGAATTGTGAGCCCAGGGAGGTCAAGGTGGCTAGGGTCCCTGGTCAGTGATTATAGGGAAATTTATGGCATAAAATTACAATATTAGACAAGAAGATCTCAAATTAACTATCTAAGGTTCCACAGTGAGAAACCAGGAGAAGAGCAAAAGAAAACCAAATTAAGCAGAAGAAAAAAAGTAATACAAGTTAGAGCGTGAATCAATGAAATCAAAAGCCAAAAAACAATGGAGAAAATTAGTGAAACCAAAAGCTAGTATTTTGAGAAAATTAATAACATTGGTAAAACTCTAGGCAAACTGATAAGATTTAAAAAGAGAGAAGAAAATTAATAGTATTTGGATTAAGAGATGATATCACTACAGATATTAAAAGTATAAAAAGGGAGTATTAATATTTATACTGTATACGTTTGACAACTTTGATGAAATATGCAAATTACTTGGAAGAAAAAACACTACCAAAGTCCAATCAGGAAGAAATAGCTTGAGTAGCCCTATATCACTTAAAGAAATTGAATTTATTACTAAAATAAATCCTCTCAAAAAGAATACTCCAAGCTTAGGTGGCTTCACTAGGAAATTCTACCAAATATTTAAGGACTAAATAACACCAATTCTATACAAACTCCAAAAACAATTATCAGGAGAGAAAACTATACCCCAACTCATTCCTTGAAACTGGAATTACTCTGATACCAAAACCAGAAACAAATATTTGAAGAGAAGAAAGCTTGCACACCAATATCCTTTATGAATATGGATGTAAAAATTCTTAATGAATATTTGGTGAGTCAAATCCAACAGTATACGAAAAGGATACTATTTCATGAACAAGTGGGGTTTATTGTAGGAATGAAAGATTTGTTTAACATTCAAAAATCTATCAGTGCAATTCATGATATTAACAGACTAAAAAAGAAAAATCATATAAGTATCTCAATAGATGCGGAAGAATAATATGACAAAATCTAACATTTACTTGTTATAGAAACTGTCAGCAGACTAGGACTAGAAGAGAAGCGTTGCAACATAATAAAGCATATCTGAAAAACCTATGGCCAGCATAATACTACATGATAAGACTGAATGCTTTTACTTAAGGATCAGGAACAAGGCAAGAATGTCCCTTCTCACAACCACTATGGAGATCAGTTAGAGGGTTTGTCAAAAAACTAAAAATAGAACTACCATATGATTTAGCAATCTCTCTGCTAGATCCACATTCAAAAGAAAGAAATGAGTACATCAAAAAGATGTCTGTACTCCCATGTTTATTGTGGGACTATTCAGAATAGCTGAGATTTGGAAGCAACTTAAGTGTCTATCAACAGACAAAGGGATGAAGAAAATGTGGCACATATATACAATGGAGTACTATTTAGCCAGAAAAAGGAATGAGATCCAGTCTTTGCATCAACATGGATAGACGTGGAGGTTATTATGTTAAGTGAAATAAGCCAGGCACAGAAAGACAAACTTCACATGTTCTCACTTATTTGTGAGAGCTAAAAATTTAAAACAATTGAACTCATGGAGATAAAGAGTAGAATTATGTCTACCAGAAGCTGGGAAGGGTAGTGGCTGGGGGGAAGTAAGGATGGTTAATGGGTACACAAATATAGATAAATAAAATGAATATCATCTAGCATGTGTTAGCACAACAGTATGGCTACACTCAACAATAATTTATTGCACATTTACAAATAACTAAAAGAGTATAATTGGATTGTTTGTAACACAAAGAAAGGATAAACGCTTGAGGTGATGGATACCTCATTTACTCTGATGTGATTATTATGCATTATATGCCTGTATCAAAATATCTCATGTAACCCATAAGTATATACACCTACTATATACCCGCAAATTAAAAATTTAAAAAAAAACTTAGAATGAAAAGACAAACCACAAAGAAAGAGAAATATTTGAAAATCTCATATTTGCTAAAGAATTTTTATCCAGAAAATATAAAGTACTCTCAAACCTGTGTCAGAAGAAAATTATCAACCTAATTAAAAATGGTAAAAGAACTGTGAACAGTCATTTCAACAAAGAAGATATATGGATGAAAAACAAGCACATTAAAACGTGCACATTACTAATCATCAGGGAAATGCAAAATAAAATAACATTTAGAATACTTAAAATTAAATTGATTCTTTGTATCAAGTATTGGTGAGGATGTGGAGCAACTGGAACTCTCTTACACTGCTGGTGGAAATGTAAAATTGAACATGTTGGAAAACAGTTGGTCAGTTTCTAATAAAGTTAAACCTACTCCTACTACATGACCTAGTCATTCCATCCTTATTCATTTACCCAAGAGAAATGAAACTAAAAAGACTTGTGCAGACCCATTCATAGCAGTTTTATTATAGTTGAAGTCTAGGCACATCCCAAGTGTCCATCAACAGTAAAATTAATAAACAAATTGTAGCAAGCCAATTAAATAGATTTCTATTCCTCAGTAAAAAGTAATAAACTATTGATACAGGCAGCAACATGGAGGAATATGCATATAATTATCCTGAGTGAATGAAGCCAGATACCAAACAAGCATGCATACTGTATGAATCAACTTATGTAAAACTCCAGAGCCTGAAAACTAAGCTATTATGTCAGAAAGCCAATCGATGCTTTCTTGAGAAATGAAAATGTTCAAGAGTGAGAGTGAAGGATTACAAAGAGGCGCAAGGAAACTGTTGAGGGTCAGGATGTGTTCACTGTCTAGACTGTAGTAGTGGTTTCATGAGTGTATACATACTTCAAAACATATGTTGTGCATTTTAAATATGTGCAGTTTACTGTATGTTAATTAAAACTTAATAAAGCTTTTAAAAATACTTTTGTACAAATAATTATGATAGGCTACATCTTAAATGATGTTTTCATCAACCTTACAATGTAGCCTTGTAGGAATGTCTGAATCCCTTGCAAAACAGTAGTCATTAAATGCCCGTTTCCTGTCTTGATATCATTCATGAGCTGATTTTTTCTTTCCACCTCCTCCTCCTCCTCTTTCTTCTTCTTCTTCTTCTTCTTCTTCTTCTTCTTCTTCCTCTTCTTCTTCTTCCTTCCTTCCTTTTCCCCCTCCTCTTCCTCCTCCTCCTTTTCCTCCTCCTCCTCCTCCTCTTCCTTCTTCTGCTTTTACTTCTTTCTTTGTTTTTAAATTGCCTAGAATGTCCTGACTCTTGTGGTAACTGCCTATGCTAGCTATGGTATACCAAAAGAAAATGCATAAAACTTTTTGCCTGCCATCAAAAAACTTTTGGTTTCGTTGGGAAAAAAATATGAATATAAAAAAGGAAATAGTATAGTCAATACAAGACAGTACATATTTAAGCACCAAATTTTCTGTTACAAATTATGATATTTAAGTTATGAAAAGCAAAAATCAATATATACCATAATAGATTGGGGAAATTTTACAGAGAAAATTGGATTATCAGATATTTTATTCAAATGGTTTTCTTCCTTTTTAACCAATTTACACCTTAAAACATTTGGTTTGAAAATTATGTCCTCTACAAAGCCTTCTCTGATTAATCTCCTATCCCTTATCACCAAGTATTAATATACATTCTCTCAAGTGTGATGAACTCAGTTTTTCTCAATTTATTTGCACTGTTACATCATTACAACTATAATTTAAAATAAATTGTGGTCAATAACCCTATTTTCCATCTTTCCTTCTCCTTGTTGCTCAATGTAGTGTTCCATGAATAATGGACGTTCAAATAAATAGCATTATCTGGCACACATTAATTATAATACATGCCATAACGAGGGTTTATATTCACAACTTGAAGTCTGTAATTATAAACTGTTAAAGATGCCCTATTAATACAGTTACAGTGAAATCACCACCATTTGCAAATTATCTGCTGATACTTAAGTGCTAAGATCTCTTAAATTTCTTGAAGAAAATGGCATGATATTCAGTGTAATGTGACTTGTATAAATAAGAAAATTTAAGAAAGCAAGTAAATACCTTTCTAATGACCATTGCATTACTTTTGACAATAGCTTTTATTTATTTGTATCCCAGGGCAGCTACATTTGTAACAATATTCAGGTTAGCCTTTTGTCTTACTTTCCCAAACTTTTACTTGTGTATAGGTGTGTGTGTGTGCATGCATGCACACATGTGTGCATTCACATGCATGCCTCTGACATATAAAGGTGAAGACCATAAGATGTGAGTTCTCAAAGTTTTTAATTTGAGCTCCTATGTGTTTATTAAAGTACCACTATCACTACTCCCTGTTGATACTCACTTTCAGTTAATAAAAAATTAAATCAGTAACAATTATTGGCTTTAATTTACAAATATGTTCTCACAATTTCTAAAGATAAATGACAACTTATCCTTACCATATGCTTTTACAAAATATTGTGTTTATTAACAGGCAACGAATTGGGTAATTTGACCAATCAATCTTGAAATGTAGTTACTAAAACAGCAGCAGCAGCAGCAGCAGCAATAGCAGCAGCAGCAGCAGCAGTGCAGGGAACTGGTTGGAAATACACATTCTCAGGCCCTACCCAGACCTACTGAATCCAAAACTTCAGGAATAAGCCTCAAAAATGGATGTTTCAGTAGACTGCTAGCTTATCCTGATGCATATTAAAGTTTAGAATAAAGTTGAGAATTTGGGTTAGACCCAGTGGAAACTTAACAACTTGGGTTTATGTCTAGGCATTCAGAGGGGTTACCAAATAAGAAATACTGTCATATTAAATCCCAGGTTAGAAACTGTGAGGGTAGAAGCATTTATGCAACATGTACATGGGAGGCAACAGAAGGAATTAGTTTCATGCCCTTATTTTTGCTAAAAACTATTAGGGTTTAATGCCTACTCACACCATGAAGTGACAATAAGAACTTCAATAAGTTATGTAAAACTTTTGTGACTTAATTTTAATATCTTCAAAATGAGCATGATGATATTGACACCTGATGAATAACGTTGTTGTGAAGTTTAAATGGCTTAATACGTATAAAGTATTTGAATTACAGGAGATTTAAATCCTAATGTCTTGCATGAGAAGATATTTTGTTTTGTTTTTTTCTTTTTTATGGCTTGTGTAATAGAGCTGACAATTGATGCCTGTATGAGTCATAGAGTGATGAAATTATTCCTACCTGTTCGAGGCAGCATTCTGTACTAAATAACTAATGTTTTATCAAGCGTTCAATTTCCCAAAAATTGCTTTGGAAATAATTTTCGCTATTCAGAAATTTACTCAAAGTGAATTTCCTGCTATAAGCCCATGTGCAGCAACATAAGTCAAGATATTGAAAGAACTCACTTTTAGAACTTTCCTGAGGGAAGGTGGTCATAGAGCAGGTTTTATTATCTGAGTAGAGGTTGTAGACAGCCAGGACAAGTTAATTGTTTAGTTTCAGGTGACAATTTGCCTAATTTGGTTTATATACTTTGTTCCATTCAGTCTTTGATACCAATTTAGCATATATAAATCATCTATGATATTTTTGGAAAGTAAAGTTCAATTAAGCAACACACACTTATTAACATCTTCAATGACAGAAAAACCATAAAGTATTTTATTCTCATAGAAAACCAGCAAATTATTATCAGTGTTGAAAGTTTGAGTTGGGATCTACTTTAACTTTGTGCTGTTCTAGTTTGGCTGCCTTGGAAAGTCTCCATTTGCATTTCAGGCTCTGACAATAGCATTCGCTTTCAGACTGTGGTTGTCTCTTAAACAACATGGGTTTGAACTGTATGGATCCAGTTATACGTTGATTTTTTTCAATGAATACTGTAAATTTTTTTGAAATTTCTGACAATTTGGAAAAACTTACAAACTGTGTAGCCTACAAAAATTGAAATTATTAAGAAAAAGGTATGCCATGAATGCATAAAATAAATGTAGACACTAGTCTATTTTATCATTTACTACCATAAATTGTACACAAATCTTTAATAAAATATTAACATTGATCAAACTTTACACGCAGAAACACAGACCATACACAGCACCATTTGCAGTTGAGAGTGATATAATCAAACATAAAGATGTAGTATTAAATTATAACTGCATGAGTTTAGTGTAGTAAACACTGTACTACTGTAATAATTTCATAGTCACCTCCTATTTCTATTACAGTGAGCTGAAGTGTTGCAAGTATCTCCTTTAAACTCCCTGTGATGCTAATCATCTCCAAGTGAGCAGTTCTCTCTCTAGTAAATTGTGTATTGTAGTAAAAAGTGATCTTTCAGTTCTTGTGTATATTTCATCATGTTTAGTGCAATACCATAAACCTTCAATAACACCATGGGAGCCATACGAAGTGCCAGTCGTCATGCTGGAAGTACTCCCAAAAAGCAGAGAAAAGTCATGCCATTACAGGAAAAAGTTGAATTGCTTGCCATGTGCCATAGATTAAGGTTGGCAGCTGCATTGCCCGCCATTTCATACAACTGATTCATCTTGTAAACAGACAAGATAAACTTATAGTATCGAGAAACACAATATAGTGCTCTAAATGAATCTTCTCTTCCTTATGATTTTCTTAATAAGGTTTTCTTTTCTCTAGCTTACTTTATTATAAGAATACAGTAGGTAGTACATATAACATACAAAATGATTTAATCGACTGTTTATGTTATCGGTAAGGCTTTCAGTCAACAGTAGGCTATTAGTAGTTACGTTTTGGGGGAGTCAAAAGTTATATGTGGATTTTCAGGTGTAAGAAGGGCTGGTTCCCCTTACCCTTGTTGTTCAAGGGTCAACTGTATATTGCCTATCTCTCAGGGTCTAGGGTTTATAGTCAATCATTTACAGGTAAGGGAAAAAACACAATTTACTCTATTTCTGACATTCCCAAACCCCCTTTTCCTTTTTTAGCATGAAGACAAGGAATTATTTTCCCAACATTGGATGCATGGAACCACCTTGAATCTATGTAAAATCAATTTTTTTTTTTCAGAGCCCAAAGCATAGAAATAACTGCCTTCAGTTCCAAATGAACACCAAAGTTCATAATTTTAGACCTCGAGTGACTCTTCATCCAACATGAGAGATTGCTTTTTTATTTGAGATTGCTTTTTTTATTTCATTCATGTGTAAGTAGCTTCTAAAGTTTAAATCATGCTTGCATCTATAATCAGGAATCTGAAAGTAATGTGCTCTAGGCTTTCATTCCTGAAAGCTGTCTGAAAATAAGTGAAAATCAAGGCGTTTGAAGGAAATCGAAATCTATTTATCTCGAATGGGCTTTGCATGCACAGGCATGTTTTCCAATCCATTGTTGGACTAGTAGCAACCAAATGATAACAAAAGGGTGAAAATGAACTCCTCTCTAATCTGCAAGTATCAGATCAATAACACTTCATCTGTTAATGGAGCAGGCCTGAGTTTTCCAAACAGTGTGAAAATCACACTTACAATGAGTAACAAAAAGCAACTACTAGAAACATTGTGCAGAAAATTTCCTTAAATGTACTTTGTTGGTAAGGCTAAGACTATACTACAACGAGGTCATTAATTTCTAGCCAGTATCATATAAATAAATACATGTACGTGTGTAGATAGATAGATATTGGGTGTGTGTGTGTTTCTAAAATATTTACAACAGTGATCACGATTTGACAGTTAATACCTACCTTTTCTATTTAATATCTAAGTTTTGCAGTAATTGATCTACTTTTATGCCGTTGGTGGTCATAGTAGCAAAGCTATAATCAATTAGAAATTCACTTTTGAGATGTATTTTAAATGTTTGTAGATGACACCTACCACAAGAGAACAGCTATAGCAATTATCTTAGTGATTTTGTTTGTGCTCATTTTATAAATTACAAGGAAGGTATCTACCAAAATTATCAAAATAGAAAAAAATAAAAAAAGGAAGTTGTCATATAAATATGTCAAAATTACATAATAACTATTATAAGAAAATAATTTGATTTATTCTTATGTTACATTTGACATGCATGGAAGATCCTTTTTCAAATTTAATCTGTCTGGAGGATTCACACACAAAATTATTCTGAAATAAGGTGACTTCAAGGTCATAAAATTGAATCTTGAGATATTTTCAAGATATTTCAAGATTTTCATTGTAATGCTGAAATAGTTAGCATTTATTAAAGAAAACCAGAGGTAGTCCATGTTTCTGATAACAAATATATAAAACTGTTTATTGCATATATGTGAAAAATATAGTCAAAGTCTTTCATTAATAATTGATCATTCACATTATTTCAGCCTTGTAAATTTCAAAACCCAAATCTGACAACATATGAAAACTTTTTCATTAAATTCAAGAATATATATATTTAGAATTTTTTGTTAGGGCATTTTTGATTAAGCTGTGAATCCATTGATTTTTGCCACATATGCTGTAGTGGAAACTGTATGCTGCACAGTTACTTGACCTCAAATTCACTCAAAGTTTTCAAAGTTTCTAAATATTTCTCACACTTATGAGTCACGCAATGCATGGACAGCTTTTATCTCTTTGTAGCTGCATCTCTTTCAGTAAGAATTTTGAGCCAATTAGTTCACAGCAAAGTGTGTAACATAAGGTTTTTTTTTAAGAAAATAGTCATAGTGTCTGAGGACTCAAACTCAGCCCTACCAAACAATTCATACAAGTTACTTTTTGATTCGGTTCCTTACAGCGCTGTCTTCTAGTTTTATGTCTACACTGGAGGGGTTGATAGGCTCTAAATATTTGATGTCCCACTCCAAGTGACATCAGATTTCTCCAAAAATAAATGTAGATGTGAAGTATTTCTCAGCCTTCACACAGTGAATTTATACTACTTAAACTATGACATGTTTAATACATAGTAGAACCATTTGTGATCTTTATGTAGATGAAAAGTTACTGGAGATAGCCGGAACACTGAGGCTGCATATATGGCCAGTGGAATGCAATTTTCAGTTTGTCTTGTAAGGTAGGAAATTTGCATTTGTTAATTGGCAAGCTCCCACCATGATCCAAGTCCAAGATCCCAGTGCCTTGTACTGCTAACATATTGATGAATTCCACAAGTTCTCTGGAAGCATCTAGCCCTGTGGCTTGCTTATAGCAGATAAGTAATAGTGAGTTCTTGCTCCCTTTGGTAAGTTAATAGACCTCTGGTTTCTGCCAATCCATTAGTTTTTCAGAGAAAGCACTACATTGTATCCATTAGCATCACAGGAAAAAAATGCTGACATTCATAGGTCATTCATTCAACACTGAATGTCCTGGATGTACTCATTGTTCTTGGTCTTGGGATACAGAGCTGAATAAGACAAGGTCCCAGCTTGAGTAAAGTTCATAATCAATTAAGAAAGAAAGACATAATAATTTAAATATGTAATGCAACATGAACAAACTGTGTAATAGAGATATGTATTGATATGAGGGCCTACCTGATTACAGAGAAGAAAGTGAGTAAGTCTGTTTCAGTAATTTGAGTAGATTCCTAGGGATTAATTGGCGTAACCAGGTCTTGATTCCAGAAAGACCATCTTCAGGGTTTTCTAAAGATGTTAAATATGAATATGTGTATAAAAGACGGGGATTTACTGTGGGCAAAATGAATACTGTATCTATATCCACCACTTACAGAGTGTTTATTATGTTTAAAGATCCATACTAAGAAATGCAGATAAAGTCCCACAGCTTTTGATTAGACATATTCTTAAACTCTACATTATATTGTCCCCTCTTACATATAAATTTCCATAACTAATAAATAGAAATATCTTTGCCTATTCAGTTTGCTGAGAAGGGTAGTGAGAGGGTTGGGGGGGTGTGGGTGTTGGGGATGGTTAATGCTTTAAATATGTTTTAAAACGAAAACCCAATATTCATAAAATAAGTCATAATTCAATTTTCTAAGATCTGTTCTCATGTTTAAATCACCTTTTCAAATAAAACAATAAATTAAGCTGACAATCTTTCCACATAGAAGATTATTATTCAAATAACTGTCTTAAGTAAATGTTATATTAATTTCTTGTTTCTTAAGTAGACAGTTATTAAATTAGCTTCTGGTATTTTAGAGAGTTTAGGCTACACTCTGTATTGATTAGCTTAATCCATGTTGGGATAGCAGAGTGCAGACTTCGCAGCTGTGGACTGTCACAATGTTCCTTTTTTTAATTGAGTAATTTGAGCCTGGAGACTGAGACAAGGCTATATAAAAACAAGTACAAGCACATAATCCAATTCATGAGATTGCATACAAATAAAGTTCATTCTTTTCCAAATGTTGGAAGCATTTCACCACATAATACTGTTTTCTGCCTTGAATTATTGTTGGATTTAGACCCCACTACCTATCACTATCTATTAGAGCAAATTATATTCACTTACTGAGACAATCACCCCTAATTTTATACAACATGACATTGGTCTTCAGGTGGCAGAAATAGAAACACACAAGCATGGAAAATGCTTGTAAATAACCAATAGGCAATCAAATCAAGTTGTTCATTTTTATTGCTAGCAATTACTCTGCGTAAGTGGCTGGGTCATGTTGGTTGGTGTCCTGAAGCTCAGGTATCAGAGAAAATTTTAAAGTATATACCTTGCTTCTTCTCTATTTCTAACTACTGGTGGGCTGCTCAAAGCTATGCATTTGAATTTATTTACTTTTATGTGAAATTCAACATAAACTGAATAAAATATATGAAGACAATATGGAAGCAAAAAAGAGCCTGAGTAGTCAAAGCCATTCTAAGCAAAAAGAACAAAACTGAAGGCATCACCTTACCTGACTTCAAACTATACTACAAAGCTACAGTAATGAAAACAGCATGATACCCATGCAAAAATAGACATAAAGACCAATGTAACAGACTAGAGAACCCAGAAATAAAACCACACACATACCAACATCTGATTTTTGACAAAGTGGACAAAAACAAGCCATGAATAAATAACTCCATATTCAATAAATGCTGCTAGGAAAACTGGCTATCCACATACAGAAGAATGAAATTAGACCGCCATCTGTCACTGTATACACAAATTAAATAAAGATAGATTAAATACTTAAATGTAAGACCTCAAATTATAAAAATACCGGAAGAAAATCTAGGAAATACCCTTCTTAACATTTGTCTTGGGAAAGAATTTACAACTAAGTCCTCTAAAGCAATTGCAACCTGTATTAGCCCATTCTCGCATTGCTATAAAGAAATACCAAAGGCTGGGTAATTCACAAGGAAAAGAGATTTAATTGGCTTATGGTTCCTCTGGATATACAGGAAGCATGATACTGGCATCTGCTCACCTTCTGGGGAGTCCTCAGGAACTTTACCATCACGGTGGAAGGCCTAAGGGGAGCAGGCACATCACATGGCCAGAGCAGGAGCAAGAGAGAAGTGCCACACTTTTAAATAGCCAGATCTGACAAGAAGTTGCTCACTATTGTGAGGACAGAATCAAGGGGATGGTGCTAAATCATTTATGAGGGATCCAACCCCATGATCCAGTCACCTCCCACCAGGCCCCACCTCCAACACTGGGCATTACAATACAACATAAGATTTGGGTGCAGACACTTATCCAAACTATATCATTCCACTCTTGGCCCCCTCAAATCTCATGTCCTTCTCACATTGCAAAATTCAATCATTCCTTCTCTATAGTCCCCCCAAATCTTATCTCATTTCAGCATTAACTCCAAAGTCCAAAATCCCAATTCTCATCTGGAGATGAGTTTCTTCTGCCTGTGATCCTGTAAAATCAAGCAAGTTATTTGCTTCCAAAATACAATGGAAAAACCAGCATTGGGTAAACATTCTCATTCCGAAAAAGAGAAATCGGCCAAAGAATGGAGCTACAGACCCCATACCATCAGGATGGTCATTAAATCTTAAAAGCTACAAAATAGTCTCCTTTGACTTCATGTCCCACATCCAAGGCACAGTGGTGGGAAGGATGGGCTCCCAAGGCTTTGGGCAGCTCTGTCCCTGTGGCTTTCTGGTTTTTGGCCCCAACAGTTGGTCTCCTGGGCTGACACTGAATGCCTGCAGCTTTTCCAGGTGCACAGTATGAGCTCTCAGTGGGTGACAGTGACCCTCTTCTCACAGCTCCACTAGGCAATGCCCCAGTAGGGACTCTGTGGGGGCTCCAACCCCACATTTCTCCTCTGCACTGTTCTACTAGAGTTTCTCTGTTGAGGGCTCCATCCCTGCAGCAAGCTTCTGCTGGAGCACTCAGGCTTATTCATACATCCTCTGAAATCTAGGCAGACGATCCCAAGCCTCAAGTCTTGACTCAGTGCACCCACAGGCTTAACACCACATGGAAGCCACCAAGGCTATGACTTGCATCTTCTGAAGCAGTGGTGTGAGCTGTATCTGAGGCCCTTAGAGCTGAGACTGGAAACAAAGCAACTGGGATGTGAGGAGTCGTGTCCCAAGGCTATGCAGGGCAGTGAGGCCCTGGTCCTGGCACACAAAACCATTCTTTCCCCCTAGGCCTCAGGGCCTGTGATGGGAGAGGCTACCTCAAAGGTCTCTGAAATGCCTCCAAGGCCTTTTCCACATTGTCTTGGAATCAACCCTTGGCTTTTTAGCTATACAAATCTCTCTGGCAAGTGGTTGCTCCACCACCTGCTTGAATTCCTCTCCCAAAAAAGCTTTTTCCTTTTCTGACACTTGGCTAATTTTTCAACATTTTATGCTCCGCCTCCCCATTAAATATAAGTTCCAACTTATTTATTCACTCCCACATCTGAACATGTGCTGTTAGGAGCAGGCACAGCACTTCTTGGACACTTGCTGCTAGAACTTTCTTCTGCCAGTTACTCTATATCATCATTCTCAAGTTCAAACTCCCACAGAACCGTAGGTCATGAATACAGTGCAGCCAAATTCTTTGCTAAGACATAACAAAAGTGACATTGACTTCATTTCCCAATAAGGTCCTCATTTCCATCTGCGAACACGGCAGCCTGTACTTCATTGTCCATATCACTATCAGCATTTTGATCAGAACTATTTAACCAGTCTCTAAGAACTTCCAAACTTTCCTCATCTTCCTGTCTTCCTTTGAGCCCTCCCGACTCTTCAAACCTTCGCCTGCTATTCAGTTCCAATGTCGCTTCCACATTTTCAGGTAGCTTTATAGAAATACCCACTCCTTGATACCAAATTTTTGTATTAGTCCATTCTCACATTTGTATAAAGAAATACCAGAGACTGGGTAATTTATCAAGAAAGGAGGTTTAATCGGCTCACAGTTCTGCAGGCTACACAGTAACCATGAGGTTGGCATCTGTTCAGCTTTTGGGGAGCCCTCAGGAAATTTACAATCATGGTTTAAGGTGAAGGGGGAGCAGGCACCTTACATGGCCAGGGCAGGAGCAAGTCAGGGGTGCCACACTTTTAAACAGCCAGATCTCATAAGAAGCCACACACTATTGCAAGGACAACACCAATAGGATGGTACTAAACCATTCGTGAGTCGTCCGACTCCATGATCTAATTACTCTCACCAGGCCCCACCTCCAACATTAGGCATTACAGTTCAACATGAGATTTGGGTGGGGACACATATCCAAACTATATCACAACCAAAACCAAAATTGACAAGTGTGACCGAATTAAACTAAAGAGATTCTGCATAACAAAAGATAACTATCAACAGAATAAACAGACAACCTATAGAATGGGAGAAAATATTCACAAACACAAATCCAACAATGGAGTAATATCCAGAATCTCTAAGGAACTTAAACAACTCAAGAAGCAAAAAACACATAACTCCACTAAAAATAGGCAAAGGACATGAACAGAAAATTCTCAAAAGAAGATATACATGTGGTCAACAAGCATCTGATAAAATACTCAACGTCAGTAGTCATCAGATAGAAGCAAATCAAAACCACAATAAAATATCATCTCACAAGAGTCAGTATAGCTTTTATGAAAAAGTTAAAAATTAATGGTTGCAGGGCTGCAGAGGAAAGGGAGTGCTTATACACAACTAGGGGGAATGTAAGTTAGTTCAGCCACCGTGGAAAGCAGTTTCAAGGATTATCAAACAAACAAACAAACAACAAATGAAAAAAAGAAAACTACCATTCAACCTAGCAACCCCATTACTGAGTATAGACCCAAAGGAAAATAAATCATTTCACCAAAAAGACACATGCACTCATATGTTCATTGCAGTGCTGTTCACAATGGCAAAGATGTGGAATCAACCGAGATGCCCATAAACAGTGGATTGGTTAAAGAAAATGTGGTACATATATCCCATGGAATACTACGAATCTGTGAAAAAGGAACAAAATCATATCCTGTGCAGCAATGTGAATGCATTTCGAGGCCATTTTCCTAAGTGAACAAATACAGAAACAGAATCCAAATACTGCATGTTCTCACTTATAAGTGGGAGGTAAACATTGATGGACATAAAGATGAGAATGATAGACACTAAAGTATTCAAAAGGGGGGAGTGAGGGAGGGGTGCAAGGGTTGAAACAGTACCTATTGGGTCCTATGCTCACTAGCTGAGTGATGTGTTCATTCATACTCCAAACCTCAGCATCACACAATATACCTTGGTAGGAAACCTGCACATGTACCACCTGAATTTAAAATAAAAATAGAAAAAAATAAACTCAAAAAAGAGAAAAGAATATGTGAAGGTAGTTATATTATTCCATTTATCTTTTCTTATAGATGATGAAATGATTTCTATTTTGTGCTCTCCAATTGCTAATATGAAACATTTTCCAAGAGAGATAGCTGACCAAACATGAGAATATTTCTAATCAAATTAAGTGTTTTATATAATCAGAATCACGATGAAGACTGTTTGCTGAAGTTGGCTTGGGACTAAACACCATTATTTGAAACTCAAATAGCTGTCTCATTTTAAATGTGTAAAGGACAGCCTTCAGGCAAAGTCCATTTTCAAAATGGGTTTGCACCAAAGCTGTTTGGAAGGCCAATCTTTAAGGTCAGATTCATTTTGGAAATTCCATCTGCCTTGTTTAGTGTTAGGTAGAATAGAACTTATCACAAATCAATTGAAGAATATTGGTATAAGCCTATATAGTTCTACCATTTTAAAAATCAACCAAAAGCACTTAGAAATTCAGACTTGCTTTCAGAATAGCTTTACTGAGTCGGTTTTCACCTTACCCTTTGATGTGGTGGATAATATTACAGTAAAGAGTGGGGAAAAAAGGAGGTAATAATTGTTAAACCTGTAGTGGCATTTTAGGTTTTATTTCAGAATTACCCATATTGGACATTATCATAAGGGAACACACATAAAATGTTTTATATAAAGCTATATATCTACGTGTATTTCTTTATGTGAAATGACTTTGCCTTTCAAGAAAAAGAGAATCATATTAAATACAATTTTTAATTTTACCAAACTAGTTTTGAATTATCTAGTGGAAATTTTCAGTCTGTATTTCAAAAAATACATTGTGCCTTTAGCAATAACGTTTAAAAATTATTTCTAATCAAGAAGCTTGTGAAAATAATACTGCTAAATTTAATACCCACCTCAATAGCATTCAATGCTATTTTTGGACATTCAATTATACATTATATGTAAACTGAAGTGGGTCCTCTGTTGAGTCTGGACAATGTCTATATAACTGAGTGTTTACAAACTTAGCTAGATGAGAAAAGTTTACTTTGTGTATTCTAGCCCTAAATTAGATTTTAAATTTCTTGAA
Organism: Homo sapiens; assembly: GCF_000001405.40. Taxonomy (NCBI): domain Eukaryota; kingdom Metazoa; phylum Chordata; class Mammalia; order Primates; family Hominidae; genus Homo; species Homo sapiens. The sequence goes on from NC_000023.11 coordinate 92,343,946, forward strand.
AGCTGGTTATACAAACGTTTTTTTTTTTCTTGCCCCTGTCTCCTAAGTTCTTTGGGTCCTCAAGTTTTGGCACATTATTCTATATATAGTAGGAACTCAGTAGATGAATAATTTGTGATTTACAGACTATGAAGCTAATGAATGATGATGTTTGAAGATCTTATCCATCTGGACCTTTCCTCATGCTAGGCACATTATTTTGGCCCGTTATTCTAGATATAGTAGGGACTCCATAAATGAATAATTTGTGACTTACAGACTATGAGGCTAATGAATGATGATGTTTGAAGATTATATCCACCTGGACCTTTCCTCATGCCTGTAGAAGCAAATTAAAGTTATTATTTAATTAATAATTAGGCAGCATAAAGCAAGAAAATGTCATTAACTATTTTATAAGCTAATTAACAATGTGGCTGTTAACATTATTTTATCAAGGTCAGGTAGTAAGTCAAGACAGATAGAGAAGCATAATCTGTATCTTCTGTCTCAGTCTGAGTTCTCCCTTGTAATAGGCTGCTTTTCTCCTCCACTTTCTGGAATAGATGAGGGGGATTTTGTTTAAACAACATTATATGTAGTGCTAACCACTTGTAAAAATAAAATCTTATCCTTTACATTTTCCATAGTTGTACTATAGAATTGCATCGTAGAAATATTGTTGATCATAATAACTTTTATAGATTTCATAAATACATCAACAAGGCAGAGAAAATTAATGATGCTTGATAAAGAAATAAGATAAATTCATTTCTCAAGAACATTTTGATTGTAAGCTACTCCTGTATTGTCTTTTAACATTAATGTCTATGCAATAAACTCAGTGGTGAATAAGAAATAAAGAAAAGGGCCAATGACAGAAGTAATAGCACCAAGTAATAATTAATAATGTTGAATGGAAAGAAAATAAAATAATGAGGATAAATCTGATAAGAGTATTCAGGAATGTAACAGAGCACTGTCTACTATCGCTTCTAAAAGCAGGAATAGGGCTATTTCCTGCTATACAGTGTTGCTAGCTAATATGATGAATAGGTGGAAATGCTTGCCCTTCATCTTTCCTTTTTAAAAATATTCTTTCTCTGTTTCTTTTCCTTTTTTACCTAAATTTTTCAGAGATTTCCAAATGTTTACTAGTTCTTTTCTACTTGTCTTGATTTTTGAGCTCTTTGAAGGAAAGAGAACTTATAAATCTTATTAATCAAACAAAAGAGAATATGAAGATACAATAATATAGCCTTAGTGAAAACAGAGCTGAAGAGGATACGAAGAACATTCCTTTTCAATTTGGTACGTATTTTTTTACTGTTGTGTCTAGGTTACTTGCTTCTCAGAAACATGAAATAATTCAACTATAGACAGGGTACATAAACATATCATCTAACTCCCACTGGGTTAGATACAGGGAAGCTACTTTTATATGGAAGTAAATAATAATTAGCTTGAAAATAATAAATTTGGAGGGATTACAAAGAACAACCACAGAGAAAATGACTTAGAATATGAAGCTTTATACTCTTTTTCCCACTGGCCCCAACTCTACACTAGAAATATTCTCAACACAATCAGAATATTAGAAAATGTCTTAAACATTAAAAAATGAGTTTTAAAAAATTGTTTAAACAGATTTTATTAAATCCAGAATAACGTTAATTTTTAATTTGTATTTGTTTTAATAACTGCAATAATGTCAGAAGAAATCTCAAAAAAATTGTTTTATAAAATAAGTTCATTGTCTTGATAGTTATTTTTTTTCCTTCCCGCATTATAGGAATTCATGAAGTTACGTCTGTCATCTTCATTTGTTATTTGAAGTTACTCTGCAAGTTACCTTAATAAACTCATTCATTATTTTTCAGAATATGAAAACACAGGAGACATGGTATTGAAAGCTAATTAGACACCCCTGAGCACATATCAGAAACGTATCAAAGTTAGTACCTGTTTTTTTTTTTTTCTGATAAAAGTACTAGCTTCTAATGTGTGAGTAGCTAATATAGCAAAAGAATCCTAATATATGAAATCTAAGGAGAAAATACATAGAAATCCAATTTTAAAGTAAAATGTTGTTGTTTTGAATTTCCAATGATAGGTTTTAGATCTTCTTTTTCTTTACTTAAGTGAAGCAGCAAATATAGATGGGACGCTTGCATGTACATTAACGACTGCCAATGCTATATTGGCAATGAATTCATCAACTCATATGACAGATTCAAGATTAAGTTCTTATGCCTTCCTTGACATTTTGAAGTAGACCATTTTTGTTGTGGAAGAAAGAGGGAAAGGAAAGGTCATAGAATTTTTATCAGTCAGTCTTATTGTCTTTTAAAATAGCAATGTCTGTTTAATGTCAGTGAACCATTCAGATGGGGATTCGTGGGTAATTTGTTGATGGAGAGCATTTTTGCTACATTTTACATCTCAAGATGTATAATCCCTTAAACTTGGCAATAATAGAATACTCTATAACTTACTAGATGGATCCTCTGTGCAAGATGAGTTATTTCTGCTTCCAGTCATCCTCTTCCCATAATATAAATAAAACCTGCACAAGTCCAAAACCTTGAACTTTATCTTACCATCTTCTCAGAAAATAACACTTTGTATTAAAATTTTACAAGCGACACGTGGAATTATACTTTTAAGTGAAAACATACGTAGTAGACTACAATCAACATTTAATAATAAATGCCCATGCATCTTGACTTTTTACCAAAATTAAGTATTGCAAAGAAATTTATTAGATTCTTTTACTTGACGTTCAATAATTCATTCTAGTCAAAGAGGCCTATCCTAGTCCATCCTCATGGTGGCAGCCATAGATATTTAGTTACTATGTGAATAAATAATGCTTTAATTCACTGCTATGTCATGGTCTCCAATATGTATTTTCTACGGTAGTGAAACCTTAAAGAAGATGTCTTGTAGCATATTTTTCCCTAGAAAATGTATTACATGGTATCCAGTAAGATCTAGTTATTTTCAGTTGGTTTCCTACTAATTTTCTGTTAATTGGTGGTAAAAAAAACTAAGGTTTATTAAATCACTTTTGAGTCATTCCCTTGAATTATATACGTATATTATGTGACTTTTGTGCTAAAATAATCTTTTCTATGTTTTTAGATATGCTTAAAATTCTTTTATAACCTTAAGTATGTATTGAGTTGCAGCTACACTTTGATTTATAAAATATATTTTAAAATTATTTGCATATGTGGACATATCTGTGTATGTGTACAAGCTCAGACATAAACCATGTTACTACTAGTTAGAAATGTCAAATTAATCAATAATCATATAACTTATTCATTGACAAGTAACTCAATAAGTAATTTCAGAAATTATAGAATACTAGATGTCATTATATATTCACATAGTTTGACTTAATGAAATGTTTGATGTGAAACATGGCATTAATAGTTCATAAAGAAGACTTTTTTTCTCCTTCGGATGCTCTTATAGTCTTCTAATTCAACAAAAATTTTGACAGTTAGAAGACAAAGAAGAAAATAGTCTGGAGAAAATGAAGATTACTTGAAATCCTAATTCAAAATCTAAGAGGCTTCCGGGTAGAAATGAATTCTCTAAGTATGCCTGAGTGTTAAGGAAAGCAGCTGACCTTCAGAGACACTCTAAACCATTTATACCCAGGTTTATGTCATCAACATAGTTCATCACAACCTATTTCCATTCTTGCAGATGAGGGTCTTGGATTCCTAGGTGTCATGGCATCAAGTCTATATCCTCCATTATAACCTCATAGATAGTTTCTTCTGTTAAAACTACATTGGAGCAAAGTACATTTAAAAACCCTTTATTGTTCTTGCTTATTATCTATATTGTAGTATATACATAGTAGATTCCACAGAAATAGTTGGGTCTTCAATTGACTTGCAAATCAATTTTTCTTATTTTCTCCAAGTAGCATAATTTTGCAATTTAATGCTATCTTTGAAGACAAATATCATTTTTGTTTATGGACCATAGAGATTACATGAAAGAAAAAGACATTATACATCAGAGCCAGAGAGAAATTCAAAAAGAAAACAAGGGCTGATTTCAGTCAGTGTCCTGTTTTAACAGACACTGGAGCCACAAGCTTTCTAATTAGGGTGATTTATTATAGAACCCACTCCATTCCACCAAACTCTGGCATTTTTCTGTTCTTTCACACAACACTGTCACCTGGATTCCTAAAGCTGAAGCAAAACGGTTCCTGAAGTAATTGAATCAGCTTTGTTATTTTCAGCTCTGAGGACGTCTGTTGGTGAAGTTCTGGACTACTAGCAACCAATGATCCAGCCCCGGGCTGGGTCAGAAAATCAAAATGAAACAAAAACAAAAGATACAAATAAGTATTATATCTTGTAAGCCAAAGGCTGTGTTAAAGTAGTAAATGCCAGAGTAGGATTCTAATCCTGGTCTATCTGACTCCCCAAGCCCAGGATCTCAACCAATATGCTGTACAGCTTTCTCTTTTGTAACCATCCAAAATCCAAGTTCGGGGATTGAGACCATTCATCTATGAGATGTTTTAATTCAGAGAAATCAAACATCAAAATTATCATTATTATTATTATTATTATTATTATTATTATTATTATTTTTGAGACGGAGTTTCGCTCTTGTTGCCTAGGCTGGAGTGCAATGGTGTGATCTCGGCTCACTGCAAACTCTGCCTCCTGCTTTCAAGCAATTCTCCTGCCTCAGCCTCCCAAGTAGCTGAGATTACAGGCATGCACTGCCACGCCCAGTCAATTTTGTATTTTTAGTAGAGACAGGGTTTCACTATATTGGTCAGGTTGGTCTCGAACTCCTGACCTCAGGTGCTTCACTCACCTCGGCCTCCCAAAGTGCTAGGATTTACAGGCGTGAGCCAACACGCCTGGCCACTTATCAAAATTATAAGGAACAAATAATGTATGGGACACTGATCATAGTCAGCACTACTGGCTTCCTGACAGCAGTCAAAATTTTCTGCACTTACTTTCTAAATGTGGAATGTTCTTTCTACAAGTATCTATGAGCATCTGACATGTATGGGTATTAGTGCATAATTGTAGCTCTGTGCACGTGACTATAGCTGGTAGAGCTCATAGAAACTCAAACCTTGTAACTTTTTTTCTAGATCTCGTTGAAATGGACATTACTAATACATATTATATTTAAGCATGTATTTATATGCTTTAAGCCACTGTGTGCTTATTAAATATCCATTATATAATGTATCTAATTATGATAAGAAATAGTGAAAATTTATTGTTTGGATATTTACATTTTTAAAATTGCAAAAAATTAATTCTTGTTTATTTTATAGGTAACTGAAAATAATGTTTAGCTTTTTATGAAATAATAGCCATTTTAAACAACAGAATAAAATTTATTTTAATTGGACATGTAGAAAGTATACATTCTCACTTGCAGTTCATTTATTTACCTAACATGTATTTATATAAGAATGATTTCTGTGATTCTAACCTTGACCTCTTCAGTCATTTCTCAATCAAGCTGCCACAACCATCCTTTAAAACTCAGATCACACCACTCTTCTGCTCATGACCCACCAATTGCTTCCCATTTCTCTCAAAGAAAGTTAAAATACTTTACCATGTTCTACAAGTCCCGCTACCATTTGTCCCCTCCCCTTTCCGTTCTTCTCTGACCTCCTTTCCTCTTATATATGGTCCTTATCTTATGATGAATCAATTTATGATTTTTTGACTTTATGATGGTGCAAAAGTAATCCACATTCAGCATAAATTGTACTTCGAGTATGCATACAGTCATTCAGTTTTCCACTTTCACTTCAGTATTCAGGAACTTACATGAGATATTCAGCACTTTACTATAAAATAGGCTTTGTATTGGCTAATTTTGTCCAATGTAGGCTAATGTAAGTGTTCTGAGGACGGTAAGGTAGGCTGGGCTAAGCCATGATGTTTGGCAGCTTAGGTGTATTAAATGCATTTTTGACTTAAGATAGTTTCAATTTAGATGCTCCTTGACTTAACAATGGGTTTATCAGGACATAACCCCTTCGTAAGTCTAGAAGCATCTGTACTCTTTCCTGGTCTCCCTTGGCTCTAGCGATACTGGCCTGCTTGCTATGCCTTCAACATATACACTGAAGTTGTGATTGCTTTTTATTTACGCTATCTATTTCACTGAAGATTTCTCCCCTGGTATCTTGTTTCATTTTTTTGATTTCCTTAAATTGGACCTCACCTCTTTCTGGTGCCTCCATGATTAGCTTAATAATTGACCTTCTGAATTCTTTTTCAGGTAAATCAAAGATTTCTTCTTGGTTTGGATCTATTGCTGGTGAGCTAGTGTAATTCTTGGGGCATGTTAAGGAACCTTGTTTCTTCATATGACTAGAATTGCTTTTCTGGTTCTTTCTCATTTGGTAGGCTATGTCAGAGGGAAGATCTGGGGCTCAAAGTCGCTGTTCAGATTCTTTTGCCTCCTGGGGTTTTCCCTTGATGTAGTAGTCTCCCCTTTTCCTAGGGATGTGGCTTCCTGTGAGCTAAACTGTAGTGATTGTTATTTCTCTTCTGGATCTACCCACCCAGCTAGGAGTAGGTTGTCTGCACAGAGTCCTGTGATGTGTACCGTCTTCACGTCTCTTAGCTGTGAATACCAGCACAATGTTTTGGTTGTCTCCCAGGTCCTGTAGGAGCAATCCACTTTCCTCAGGATGTCTATGGATTCTCTTGGCTTTCCTGGTATATTCCTGAAGTAGTTCTTGGAGCAAAAGTCCATGATTCAAGTCTCCACACGCTGCTCTGTCTGTCTGAGTGGGAGTTGTAACTTAGTTCTGCCGTCTATCTACCATTTTTCTCAGTATCCACCCAGAACAGCTTATCAAGATGTGCATAAAAATTGCAGACCTGTGACCATGTATTATCTTGTCTTGTTATGCTCTCGTACTTCAAAACACATTTATTTCACCCACGTAACTCATTATTCTCATTTGTCATGAAATATTTGTGCACTGATAGACAATGAAAATTGGCATCTTCCTCTAGGATTTTCATTTCACTGATGGCAGGTTTTGAAGTTCTATAGATGATTTTCAATTCAAAGTGGAAGAAAGAACTCGTGAGATAATTTCAAACTTCTGAGTAACTTCTGTTCAGTATGATGTTTACTTTACTGCGATCACGGGTCAATTGTTCTTCAGTCCAAAAATACAATAATCCCTAATCAGATATATCTGTTTCGTTTCAAGAACTAAAATTACTTCTAATTTACAAGACTCACTTCTTATAAACTATTCCATCAATTTAATTCTACTCCTACAAAGCTCTTTTGTGTAGGTTCACAAATAAATCATTCTACGTCTCTTTGCTTTCAGAATAAGTCATCCAAGAATGACTCAGAGTAGGTTCGACTAATGCATGACGTCTTTTAATTTCATGTAAACTAACAATATTCAATTTCATTTGGAAATATTTTATATCACCTGAACCTATGGGGTACATATAGTAAGTTTTCTTTCCATTTCTTTAGCTATCTTTAATATTTACATTGAATAATTTTCTAAGATCTGTAACTATGAAATTCTATTTTATCTTACTGATATCAATGTTATTTATAGTGTAATAATAATTATATTATCTTTACATTTGAATGGACTACACTGGCCTTGAGTCAAATTTTTTAACACAGTTAAATAAACATGTAATTAAACACTGCATGTTTATTTACTGCAAGCATCATATTAGTCACTGTTAAATGAGGTAAAATCCATTTTTCTTTAGCTCACTTCATAATTCTCTACTGTGTATGATTCATCCCTTCATCTGGAATCTGCTGTAGGTGAGCTTCCGTTGCGTTGGGTATGGAAGAGGTTTGTTCACACTGACTTACTGACACAGCAGCTATGAGTTAATGGAAAGGATGTTATGATTTCTTAAGATCATCAATCAACTCCTAAACATTGCCTATAAAGGATCATATAGATTATAAAGAAGACATGTGAAGTGTTTAAATGGAAACTTCTGTTATTTTCAAGCAATGGGAAATTGGAAGTATTAACTCAGTCTGACTGTATGACCATACCATCAATTGGAGAATAAGCTATTTCCAGTTGCCCTACAACTGAAATGATAATTTTCTTCATCATTATCATAACTTTCTATTTTACAGAATAAAAAATTGTTAATATTGAAGATGCAGTATCTTATATTTATACTCCATCTACTGGCCTTGGATACTAAATGGATTGGAGCTTTTGCCTTGAGTAAATGTATTCCTACAAAAAAACATAGTGTTTTATAGAGAAAAGGGATATTAGAAAGACATTATATACCCAAACCTCTCATTTGATAGGTGAGAAAACTGATGTCAACTTAGTTGCTATTCCTTCAACATATAAACTGAAGTTGTGATTGCTTTTTATTTATGCTATCTATTTCACTGAAGATTTCTCCCCTCATATCTTGTATCATTTTTTTGATCTCCATAAATTGGACTTCACCTTTTTCTGGTACCTCCTTGATTAGCTTAATAATTGACCTTCTGAATTCTTTTTCAGGTAAATCAGGGATTTCTTCTTAGTTTGGATCTATTGCTGGTGAGCTAGTGTAATTCTTGGGGCATGTTAAGGAACCTTGTTTCTTCATATGACTAGAATTGCTTTTCTGGTTCTTTCTCATTTGGTAGGCTATGTCAGAGGGAAGATCTGGGGCTCAAAGTTGCTGTTCAGATTCTTTTGCCTCCTGGGGTTTTCCCTTGATGTAGTAGTCTCCCCTTTTCCTAGGGATGTGGCTTCCTGTGAGCTAAACTGTAGTGATTGTTATTTCTCTTCTGGATCTAGCCACCCAGCAGGACTAGGTTGTCTGCACAGACAGAGTCCTGTGATGTGTACCATCTTCAGGTCTCTCAGCTGTGAATACCAGCACAGTGTTTTGGTTGTCTCCCAGGTCCTGTAGGAGCAATCCACTTTCTTCAGGGTGTCTATGGATTCTCTTGGCTTTCCTAGTATATTCCTGAAGTAGTTCTTGGAACAAAAGTCCATGATTCAAGTCTCCACACGCTGCTCTGTCTGTCTGAGTGGGAGCTGCAATTTAGTTCTGCCTTCTATCTACCATTTTTCTCAGTATCCACCCAGAACAGCTTATCAAGATGTGCATAAAAATTGCAGACCTGTGACCATGTATTATCTTGTCTTGTTATGCTCTCGTACTTCAAAACACATTTATTTCACCCACGTAACTCATTATTCTCATTTGTCATGAAATATTTGTGCACTGATAGACAATGAAAATTGGCATCTTCCTCTAGGATTTTTATTTCACTGATGGCAGGTTTTGAACTCCATAGATGATTTTCAATTCAAAGTGGAAGAAAGAACTTGTGAGTTAATTTCAAACTTCTGAGTAACTTCTGTTCAGTATGATGTTTACTTTACTGCAATCGCAGGTCAACTGTTCTTCAGTCCTAAAATACAATAATCCCTAATCAGATATATCTGTTTCAAGAACTAAAATTACTTCTAATTTACAAGACTCGCTTCTTATAAACTATTCCATCAACTTAATTCTACTCCTACAAAGCTCTTTTGTGTAGGTTCACAAATAAATCATTTTACGCCTCTTTGCTTTCAGAATAATTCATTCAGGAATGACTCAGAGTAGGTTCGACTAATGCATGACGTCTTTTAATTTCATGTAAACTAACAATATTCAATTTCATTTGGAAATATTTTATATCACCTGAACCTATGGGGTACATATAGTAAGTTTTCTTTCCATTTCTTTAGCTATCTTTAACATTCACATCGAATAATTTTCTAAGATCTGTAACTATGAAATTCTATTTTATCTTACTGCTATCAATGTTATTTATAGTGTAAAAATAATTATATTATCTTTACATTTGAATGGACTACACTGGCCTTGAGTCAAATTTTTTAACACGGTATTAAACATTGCATGTTTAGTTACTGCAAGCATCATATTAGTCACTGTTAAATGAGGTAAAATCTATTTTTCCTTAGCTCACTTCATAATTCTCTACTGTATATGATTCATCCCTTCATCTGGAATCTGCTGTAGTTGAGCTTCCATTGTGTTGGGTATGGAAGAGGTTTGTTCACACTGACTTACTGATACAACAGCTATCGAATAATGGAAAAGATGTTATGATTTCTTAAGATCATCAGTCCACTCCTAGACATTGCCTGTAAAGAATCATATAGATTTTAAAGAAGACATGTGAAGTGTTTAAATGGAAACCTCTGTAGCTTTCAAACAATGGGAAATTGGAAATATTAACTCAATCTGACTACATGACCTTACCATCATTTGGAGAATAAGCTATTTCCAGTTGCCCTACAACTGAAACGATAATTTTCTTCATCATTATCATGACTTTCTCCTTTATACAATAAAAAGTTTTAATATTGAAGATGCAGTATCTTATATTTGTACTCCATCTACTGATCTTGGATTCTAAATGGATTGGAGCTTTTGCCTTGAGTAAATGTATTCCTACAAAAACCATAGAATTTTAGAGAGAAAAATGATATTAGAAAGACATTATATACCCAACCCTCTCTTTTGATTGATGAGAAAACTGATGCCAACTTAGTTATGAATTACCTGGATTTACATGAACAAGAAGTGAAACTGGAGCTTAGGTCTCTTGATTCATTTTCTGGAGCTTTTCCTACTCCACAAACTCCTTTTATTATGAATTCTGTACTCCAAATATTACTATAAATGAAGAATTCAATGTAGGATTTTTTTTTCATCACTAAGGCAAGTGTTAGTTAACAAATACAGTCAAGGAGAAAATGAAATATTTGAAATTAGCTGAAGTTATACTAAAGGCACAAAGAAAAATTCTCAGACATTAGTAGGTACTCAGTAAAAGAGAGAAATTCAGCATCATAAAGCTGTAAACGCCTTGATAAATGTGAGGTCAATCAATAAAATAATGGCAGTGAACTCGTGTGGCTCATAGCATAGCACAGAAGATAAATCTGAAAGAGAAACAGCAAAATGTTGTGAACAATAGCAGCATCGTTGAAATAAATAGTCCCCATTTATACTAGTCTGTAGTTAGAGTTCTAATGAATTAATAATTTTTATTGATTTCAGTTTCTAAAAGAAATTGCTATTCTTGTCATCTTTATCTGCCTTGGAATCTGATAAAATCTAAGTTGACTACTTCTCATTAAAAGAAATTATTAGGCCGGGCGCGGTGGTTCACGCCTGTAATCCCAGCACTTTGGGATGCCGAGGCGGGCGGATCATGAGGTCAGGAGATCGAGACCATCCCGGCTAAAACGGTGAAACCCCGTCTCTACTAAAAATACAAAAAATTAGCCGGGCGTAGTGGCGGGCGCCTGTAGTCCCAGCTACTGAGGCAGGAGAATGGCGTGAACCCGGGAGGCAGAGCTTGCAGTGAGCCGAGATCCCGCCACTGCACTCCAGCCTGGGCGACAGGGCGAGACTCCGTCTCAAAAAAAAAAAAAAAAAAAAAAAAAAAAAAAGAAATTGTTGAAGCAGAATCTCCGTTATTAAAAGTAACGCAAAACCAAAACAAAACTCTTTAATACATCTGAAGGTTACAAATAAAACATACATTTATCAGTTTTATTACAAAGATATATTATTAAAGCATGAATGGTTTTAACATGAATTGTTTCTTCATTTATTCACGGTAGTTTATACTGCCATTGTAAATTTTAGAGTTTCCCTGCATTTTTTTTGCAAATATCATAGGAGCTATTATAGATATTTCATGTTCTATATCTGACTTACAGTTACCCAATTTTGATCATGACCAAGCAATAGGATCCTAAGGGTCCATTTGAAAGGATTTGGAGGAAATATAGCTTCATGTTGCAATATAGTTTTGCACATTTGTGACTGATCACTGCAATCAGAGAACCGTGCTATCTCATGTTAAGACTGTATAAATATATACTGTTTCACATATTTTCATATAATCATTGCAAATTCTAAAAAAAAAACCACTTTAAATGATGTTTTAAATAATCCTGAGATTTGTTACTTGTACAGCCTCGTACTTCAGCTGAACAAGTCGTGTATATATAGAGTGAATAGATCACCAGAAGCTCCTTCTGTGTCAATGCTCCTGGTAAATGTTTCAACTTGTATTCCCCAGAGGGAATCCTAGGAGATAATTTGGAGAGCGAAGCAAAAGTTATAACATTTGTTTTTCTCTATTTCTTTGATGCACTAAGAATTCATTTACTTTCTCCACAGACTGGTCTTCCTTTGCCAGCAAAGAAACTGCAAGTTATATTACTTTATAAAAAGGAACCATTAACCACATTAAAATGTTTCATGTCTCTAAAAACTGTGGTATGTAATTACCTAAAACTGAGTTCTTTGAAGAAGGAAAGAAATAATACCAAATTTAGCTCTAATATGCCTGGCTATATGTCATATAAATTCTATTAAGTTAACTATATATCCCCAGTTTTAAAACTATTAAGTGATTCACTCTTCGAAATATTTCCCCTATATTTACAACATAATTTAGAGTAGAATCGCCTTGTAATAATAAAATTAAAAACCCATATACTCGCCTCTTGGTAAACAGCAAATGCAGCAAGAATACAATAGTATGTATGAAAGCAGAGAACACATTTGCTTGTAATGTGGGTGGGACTGCCTCTTATAAGTAAGGTAATCATATTTGTTTATTTTCTTATCACTTTGTTATTGCTTCCATAATCACCGTGTAAGAAAGTGTAACAGCTTAAATCCTATATCTTTCAACCTCATTGGGTAAATATAGTCAAACTTTTAAAGAATGTGGCACAGAGTATCATACTAGGGAATTGCTGTAATCGTTGGAGTAGGGTCTTTGGCCATGTCAGTTCCCATAGTTATTTACTTAAAGTGAAATCATCTTTACACAGCAATTGCTATTTTCCAGAGATGGGCCACGTAAAATTGTCCACTCTAGGTGATTTAGGGACCATAATGAAGATTGGCATCATGGAAGGCAACAGGAAATGCACCCCTTTGAAGAGAATGTGGCTCCTGTGCAACAGTGAAAATGCAATAAGTACTGAATGCCAAGAGCAGGTGGCTGAGGATGGAGCAAAGTTCAAAAATTCACGTCTATTCTCAATGGCGAGTGGAATGGCCTTTTTTATTTTTTCTGAATGAATCACCCAAGGCCTCACTTTTTTTTTTTAAAAAAAAGCCTGATAACTTATATTGCTCAAAAGAGAAAATGTAAGAATGTAAGTCATTAATTTAAATTCCTGATTTCTCCTTGCTTCATTATAATAAAGCAGATGAATGTGGTCACCACAATTGATGATCAGGAAGAATTTGAAAATAATGCATGTTGATGTCCTAATATTGTCTTTCTCACTAACTCTTATGATTGAGAATATATTTCTTTATTTCATTTAACTAATTTGGAAAAACGAAATCTAGTCTTTCTTTTACCCTGTGCTATGGTCAGAATGTTTGTTCCTACCAAAATTCATGTTAAAATCCTCACCCCTAAGGTGATAGTATTAGGAAGTGGGGCCTTTGGGAGGTGATTAGGTCATAGGAGTGGAGTCCTCATGCATAGGATTAGTGCCCATATAAAGGAAGCCTGAGAGAGTCCCCTCACCTCTTCCACCAAGTCAGGACACAGCAAAGAGCCTTCTATGAACAGAAAGCAGGCCATTCCTAGACAATGAATCTGTCAGAACTTTGATATTGGACTTCCCAGACTCAAGAACTGTGAGAAATAAATCTCTGTTGTTTATAAGATATCTAGTTTATGGTATTTTGTTATAGGAGGCTAAACAAATTAAGATACCCTGTATTACTTGTATCGATCTCATTAAGTATAAATCTATTTTAATTTATTATGTATCTTTTCAGTGTTATGTCTGTTTTTTTATACCTAAGAGAATTGAATATATTGAAAGTTAATTTTTTAGGATATATTTTATTTTATGTTTTACCTGCAGATAAAATTTTGGTCATAGGCAATGAATGTAGGAATAAAGCAAAACGCATGCAGGATGGAGGAAGGAAGAAATTTTGGGCATATTTAGGATGTAGAATGGACAATAATTGGTGACGTCTATGGGGCCAAAGCCAAGGACCCACAAGAAATGAAAAACAGAAAGTGCAGAAGACTGAGGGAAGGGCAATATGGACTTTGGTTTCGGATATGTTGATTTTGAAATGTCTATAAGCAAACAGTTGTAGATCTGGAATGGATTCCATAGCTAAAAAAATTATAGGTCTAAATCTCAGAAGAGACATCTAACTGCACTGAAGGTAAATAATCATTAGATACAGATGGTCATTGATGTCATGGAGTAAAGATTCTAGAGACTCTTATTTTACACATTTATCCATTTCATCAACAAATAATCTTGAGTGCCTATGATGTACCACACACATAATGGTGAAAAGAGAATAGAACTCCTGTTACTGAAAACACAAAGATGTTGAATCTGTGCATTCATCTAATGTAGAATCTACATTTTTGGCTATTGTCAGATCCTTTTAGGTCATAAATGGATACTTTTTAGACTTTTTTGAAAAATGTTATAATATTTCTGGTAAGTTTTTTGATTTTTTTTTTTTGCTTAGGTAGACTTTGTGCTAGCCTAGAAACTTGATTATTACATATTTCTTTGCCCATAATAACCCGGTTTGTACTGTGACTTAAATTACTTTATTTCTCCTAGTGCTAAAGTTACCAATGACACAACCTGGGTAGTCACAGACAAGAAAAACTCCTCTACCTATCATGCTCACAGATAGAGACAAAAATATGATCTTGGACAAACAATAATATTTTATTCCACCTCTGTTAGTTTCTTTTATTTTCTTTTAGCATCTAGAATTTGAGATCTGTAGGTTCTCATATTTATCTATTATAAATTCTTCTCATAAGGAACTTGCTTATAGGAAGTTTCTATTTCAGGCTATATAATCTCAATAAGGCAAGGACATTTATGGTTTCATCAATTCTCACTAATCTGCAGTCCTTCAGCCTTACAATCTGATTCTTGTGAAAAGCTGTCATCAGAAGGCAGTATCTATAGTGTACATTTTCCCTGTAAATTAATTGTGACACATTGAGTGGCGGTTCCTCATGCCTGGGGGAGGCGTGGCTATTTTTTCATCTAATTTCATTTATGTTTTTTTTTGTGCCAAACTGCCTTTTGTTAGAAAAAATATATATATTCAACTTGATTAATTTGGGGGAGGATAAACATGCATTATTTTGTGTATGAGTTATCTTCATATTTTGGAGTGTGCAGAAGTGATTGGCTATTTTTGATGACCACTAATACAGTAAAATTTGGTATCTCATTATTTAAATTTATTGATCAGAAGGAAAGAAAGAGCACTGTGAGAACTGACTGTAATGAAAAGTCTATAAGGTACTACCTTAGCTTAAAACATCTAAATAGATTTCTCACAACAATTAAGGGTAAATATGTCCCTTGGTACATGCACACAATGAACAGCTTGGATTGTTGTATTTAATTTCTTACACAGTATGATAAAAGCAAACTAGTGGAATTTAAACTTTAGTTTAAAGCAAAGTTCATGTCTCTATGATAAAATTCAGTGAATCAAAAGCCAGTGTTTTCAGCCGACCTAATATCTCATTTATTTTGTGACACAATAGATTTGATTGGCTCTGCCATTTGAGATATACAGGGCTAGAAATAAACTAAAGTATGTGTAATTCAGCAGCTGCAAGCATATGATATCTAACTATCTCTTCATCATTGCATTTTAGGTTTTGTACATGGTAACTAGATCTTACTATAGCAAGCAAACACCACTATTACCTAAGAGCATCATATAAGATAGAATACTATAGGTAGTTTATTCCACTGTGGGTAGAAGCATTTGATGCTTCTGTTAACTTTATAAGTGTCCCTTAAAACACAATATTGACCCATGAAAATAATAGTAATTTTAGTCCTCCTCAGTGCCTTGTACCAAATACTTATTTAATATGCCTTTTCAAATGAGTTGTCTGTAACAGCAAACAAATCTATGTGACTAAGCATAAATTAATCTCTCCATCAAGTTTTATTGTTAGCATCCTTATTTTCTCACTCTTTAGGCAACTATTTTTAAAATAAATTATCTGAATATAAAAGATCTGAAGTGTAAGTTTTACAAAGCTTAAGATACAACATTTCAAAACTATTAATTCCTATTGTTTCCTTATTTTAGAAGTACTTGTAGGGTATTTTATACTTTATACTTTGTAAAGTGCTTTATACTTTACACATTGTATACAGTACTTTATACTTTATACTTTGTATACAGTGCTTTATACTTTGTAAAAGTGAAATACAGCTTTATTTCTTGCTTTTCTGATGTTACTGTTCCCTTACATTTAAAAATCATTTTAGGGTGATAGCATCATTCGCATTTCTACAGCGTTTGAAACACTGGAACATTTTAACGCGCAAAATATTTTGAATTTGTGATGTATATTGCACAGGAGATAAATAAATAGAACATTATTTTCTCGAAATTGGTCCTATCTAAATTTGATATGCATAACTCAAATGATCAATTATAATATGTGGGGATTCTTTAAAACATTGCAGGGAAAATATTGGAGATCAGCCAACTCAAAACAATGTTTTAGATCTCTAGAGTAGAAATGCATTTCTTCCCTTCATTTGTAAGTTTTCTAGATATCATCAAAAACTGCTCATTTAGCTTTTTTGTCAAAGTTGTCTTTTACTACATCATACATATTTAAAAAGACATTGCATACAACTAAATCTACTTAGTGTCTATATGCTGCAGGCACTATTCTGGGCACTGCAGGTCTTCATTAGCTCACTAAGGTGTCATTCATTTTAAAACCAAGAAAAAAAATCAGTAAAAAGTAAATATTTTGCTGTTTGGCTCCCAGATTTCCAAAACTGCTGGAAAATATATTTCTTAAAATGGCCTGTGTTGGGCCACTACAAATTCATACTTCTAACTGTATCAGGGCTCTTGGCACCTCTGGGCAGTATTTTTTTTTTAATTAAATCTCTTATTATTTCTTAACACATTATCCAAAGAAGCTGATTTATTTATTTATTTTATTCATTTGAAACTCTTAGTCCCATGTTACGTCACTCACAATTTGCCAGGTATTATCTCAATTACTGTTTATTTAGGAGATTGAGATAATTAAACCAGTTTTTTTCACCTTCTCTTGTCTATACTTTTCAGAATATTTCTGAATCTTTCCTTTCACTGTCTTTATTTTGGTTACTGTCTTTGAGAAAGAAGTATATCTCTCCTTTCAATTCCCCCTGTTTGCATCTTTAAGTTATTTCTCTATTTGGTCTTCCTATATCTCTCCACATGATCAGGTCTTTATTATTTTAAAAGACAAATAATTCTAAACATCCTAAGCCCTACTTTTTCTTCAGACATTTGCTGAAACTCTTCACTTCCTTTTCCCTCCAAACAATTTAAAAGATAATTTTATAACTGCTGTCATAACACATCAGCTCTTTAACTTCTTGCAACTAAGAATTATCTTTTCCAATTTTATATCCTTAAAGAAAACCAATGATGACCAAACTCAGGTGACATTTCTCAGTCCATAGCTTTTTGAAAATCCCTGATTCATTAGATTTTTTTTTACTATCCCCGTTTTACAAATGCTCTCTTCTCTCTGATAACTTGTAATATGCCACTGTTAGCTTTTAAAAGATTTGTTGTGAAATACAGATAACATAAAACTTACCATTGTAGTAGTTTTTAAGTATACAGTTCAATGGCATTAAGTACATCACATTGTTTTGCAGCCATCACCATCATCCATCTCCAGAGCTGTTTTCATGTTACAAAAGTGAAACTCTTTACCCATGAAACAGTGATGCCCCATTCCTCCTGGTACCCAAGCCACTGGCAAGCACCATTTTACTTTACGTTTGTATTAATTTGGCTATTCTTGTTACCGTGTATAAGTGGACTCATGTACTATTTGTCTTTTTTTGGGTTATTTAACTTAGCATAATATTCTCAAGGTACACCCACATTGTAGCATGTGTCAAAAATACCTTCCGTTTTAAAGTGTATACCACATTTCGTTTATCCACTTATCTGTCACTGGATATTTGGGTGGCTTTTACCTTTTGTCTACTCTGAAAATTTCTGCTATGAACAAGGGAGTACACTTGAATCTTAGAGACCCTGCTTCTGTGTGTTCATATCTAGACATAGAATTTCTGGATCATATGGTAATTCTACATTAAATTATTTGAGAAATCGCTACACTGTTTTCTATTGAGGCTGTACCATTTTATATTTCTACCAACAGTTTACAGGATTTCACTTTCTTCACATCCTCATCAACATTTGTTATTTTATGTTTTGATAGTAGCCATTCTAATGGGTGTGAAGTGATATCTCAATATAGTTTTGTTTTTCCCTAATTATTAGTTATGCTGAGTATCTTTTCGTGTGCATACTGGTCATATGTTCATCTTCCTTGGAAAATGGCTATTCAAGTCCTTTGCCCATTTTTTAAAGGAGTTATTTATTTACTTATTTATTATTTTTGATGTTGAGTTGTATGAGTTCTTTAGATGTTTTGGATATTAACCATATACCAGATGTAGGGTTTGAAAATATTTTTTCCACCCTGTAGGTTGCATTTTCATTCTGATGATTGTGTTTTTTGACTCATGAAAGTTTTAAATTTTGTGTAGTCAAATGTATCTATTTTTTCTTTTATTTCTATATTTTTGTCGTTATTTCTAAGAACTCATTGCCAAACCCAATGTCATGAAGTTTTTTCTCTCTGTTTTCTTCTAATAATTTTATAGTTTTAGGTCCTACATTTATGTTATTGCATTTTGAGTTTTTCTGTATGTGTTGTAAGGAAAGGGTCCACCTTCATTCATTTGCATGTGAGTATCAAGGTTTCCAATATCATTGGTTGAAAAGACTGTTCTTTTCTGATTAAATGGTTTTGGCATTCTTGATAAAAATCATTTGAGCCTTTGTTTTTAGGTTCCCTATCATGTGAACCTTTAATTTTAGGTTCTCTAATCTATTTTTTTTGGTCTATTTATCTGTCTTTATTCTAGTACCATACCATTTTGATTATTGTAGATTTGTAGTAAGTTTACAAGTAACTTAAATGTGAGACTTTTTACTTTATTCTTCTTTTCAAGATTGTTTTCACTATTGCAGGTCTCTTGAAATTCCATATGTTTTTTGGATGGATTTTTCCATTTCTCTAAAAAACACCTTTTAGATTTTGATAGATATTACACTAAATATGTAGATCTCTTTGGGAAGTGTTGAACCATGTACAATATTAAGTATTCTAATCCATGAACATAGAATAGCTTTCTACTTATTTGTGTGTTCTTTCATCTGTTTCAGCAAAATTTTGTAGTTTTCAGCGTATACCTTTCCCCTCTTTGGTTAGGTTTATACATACATATATTCTTGTTTTGATACTATTGTAAACAGAAATGTTTTCCTAATTTTATTTTCATATTGTTCATTGTTAGTGTTTAGAAACCTAACTGATTTTTAGGTTCTGATTTTGTATCCTGCAACTCTGCTGATTTTACTTATTAGTTCTAACAGGTTTTTTTTTTTTGAATAATCTTTAGGATTTTATACATCTAATATCATGCCATCTAAAAACAGAGATAAACTTACTTCTTCCTTTCCAATTTAGATGACTTTCACTCTTTTTTCTTGCCTCATTGCTCTGGCTAGTACTTCCAGTAGTATATTGAATACAAGTGGTGGAAGCAGTTATCCTTATCTTATTCCTGATCTCAGAGGGAAATCTTACAGACAGTCACCATTGAATATGATATTAGCTGCAGGCTTTTCATATATGATATAATGTTAAAATAGTTTCCTTGTATTTGTACTTGGTTTAATGTGTTTTTTTTAAAATCATAAAAGAGCATTGAAATTCGTCAAATGTTTTTCTTCATCCATTGATATGATGAGGTATGTTTTTCCCTTCATTCTGTTAGGTGGTATAGTACAGTCATTGATTTTTGTATGTTGAACTGTCTTTGCATTTCTTCTCAGAATAATTACTACTCAGTCTTGGTGTGTAACCTTTTTAATATATTGTCGAATTCTGTTTTAAAGTATTTTGTTGTGGATTTTCATTAGAGATATTGATGTGTAGTTTTCTTATAGTGTCTTAGTCTAGCTTTGGAATCATGGTAATGCTTTCCTCATATAATAGTCATGTGCTACTTAACAATGGCAATATGTTCTGAGAAATGCCTTGTTAGGGGATTTTGTGACTGTGCAAACATCATAGAGTGTACTTACATGAACTTACACTCTATAGCCTATTACATACTTAGGCTATATGGCATAGCCTATTGTTCCTAGGCTACAAACCTGTACAGCATGTTACTGTACTGAATACTGTAGGCAATGGTAACACAAAGGTAAGTATTTGTGTATCTAAACATAGAAAAGGTAGCGTAAAAATAGTACAAAAATAGAAAATGCTACATTTGTATAGGGCACTAAACATGAGTAGAGTTTGCAGGACTGGAAGTTGCTCTGGATGAGTCAGTGAATAAATGGTGAGTGAATGTGAAGTCCTAGGCCATTACTTTACACTACTGTGTACTTTATAAACATGTACCAGGCTAATACTAAATTTATGAAAGAATATTTTTATTTCTTCAGTAATAAATGAACCTTAGCTTTCTATGACTCTTTTACCTCGTAAACTTTTATTTTTTTCTAACTTTTGACTCTGTTGTAATAGCACTTAGCTTAAGCCAAAAACACATTTTATAGCTCAAATCGTTTTCTCTTTGCTGGGCACAGTGGTGGGCACCTGTAATTCCAGCTACTTGAGAGGCTGAGACGGGGATTCCTTGAGTCCGGGCTGTAGTGCACTAAAAAGACTGCAAGATTGCACCTGTGAATAGACACTCCACTCCAGCCTGGGAAACATAAGAAGACCCTTTCTACAAAAAAAAAAAAAAAAAAAAAAATTTCTTTCTTTATATTCTTATGCTTTGGGCTTTTTCTATTTTTTTCTATATTTTAAACTTTTTAAATCTTTCTGTTAATAACTAATGCACAAACATTAGCATAGGCTTGCATAGCGTCAAAATAATCAATATCGCTCTTTTCACCTCCACATCTTGTCCTTGTCCTACTGGGAGGTTTTCAGGGACAGTAACATGCACAGAGCTGTCTTCTCCTATGATAACAATGTCTTCTTTTGAAATACCTCCTGAAAGATCTGCTTGAGGCTGTTTTGTAGTTAACTTTTCTTTTTTCAATAAGTAGAAGGAATATATTCTAAAATAACAATTAAAGGTATAGTATAGAAAATATATAAACCAATAACATAGTTATTTATTATCATTATCAAGTATTATGTACTGTACATAATTGTATGTGTTATACTTTTATACCACTGGCAGTGCAGTAGGTTTTTGCTGTTGTTGTTGTTGTATTGTTTTTTTAAAAAGTAAAGACAGGGTCACACCATGTTGCCTTGGCTGGTCTGGAACTCCTGGACTCAAGCAATCATCCTTTCTCAGCCTTCCAAAGTGCTGGGATTACAGGTGTGAACCACCACACCTGGCCAGTAGGTTTGTTTATACCAGGATTGCCACAAACACATGAGTAATGCATTGTGCTATGATGTTACAATGGCTATGATATCATTAGGTTTTAGCTCTTATTATTTTGAGATATGTTCAATCAATACCTAGTTTATTAAGAGTTTTTAGCATGAAGGGATGTTGAATTTTATCAAAGACCTTTCTGCATCTATTGAGATAATCATGTGGTTTTTGTCATTGGTTCTGTTTATGTGATGGATTACATTTATTGATTTGCATATGTTGAACCAGCCTTGCATCCCAGGGATGAAGCTGACTTGATCATGGTGGATAAGCTTTTTGATGTGTTGCTGGATTTGGTTTTCCAGTATTTTATTGAGGATTTTCGCATGGACGTTCATCAGGGTTACTGGCCTGACACTTTCTTTTTTTGTTGTGCCTCTGCCAGGTTTTGGTAACAGGATGATGCTGGTCTCATAAAATGAGTTAGGGAGGAGTCCCTCTTTTACTATTGTTTGGAATAATTTCAGAAGGAATGGTAGTGGTTCCTTTTTGTACCTCTGGGAGAATTCGGCTATGAATCCATCTGGTCCTGGGATTTTTGTTTTGGTTCATAGGCTATTAATTACTGCCTCAATTTCAGAACTCGTTGTTGGTCTCTTCAGGGATTCGACTTCTTCCTGGTTTAGTCTTGGGAGGGTGTATGTGTCCAGTAATTTATCCATTTCTTCTAGATTTTCTGGTTTATTTGCACAGACATGTTTATAGTATTCTCTGATGGTAGTTTGTATTTCTGTGGGATCAGTGGTGCTATTCTCTTTATCATTTTTTATTATGTCTACCTGATTCTTCTCTCTTTTCTTCCTTACTAGTCTAGCTAGCAGTCTATCTGTTTTTTAAAAAAATCTTTTCATAAAACCGGTTCCTGGATTCACTGATTTTTTTGAAGGGTTTTTTGTGTCTCTATCTCCTTCAGTTCTGGTCTGATCTTAGTTATTTCTTGTCTTCTGCTAGCTTTTGAATTTGTTTGCTCTGGTTCTCTAGTTCTTTTAATTCTGATGTTCAGGTGTTGATTTCAGCTTTCTTTCCAGCTCTCTGTTGTGGGCATTTAGTGCTATAAATTTCCCTTTTAACACTGCTTTAGCTGTGTCCCGGAGATTCTGGTATGTTGTCTCTTTGTTCTCATTGGTTTCAAAGAACTTATTTATTTCTGCCTTAATTTTGTTATTTACCCAATAATCATTCAGGAGCAGGTTGTTCAATTTCCATGTAGTGATGTGGTTTTGAGTGAGTTTCTTAATCCTGATTTCTAATTTGATTGCACTGTGGTCTGAGAGACTGTTTGTTATGATTTCCACTCTTTTGCATTTGCTGAGGAGTTTTTTACTTCCAATTGTGTGGTCAGTTTTAGAATAAGTGCTATGTATGTGCTGAGAAGAATGTATATTCTGTTGATTTAGGATGGGGAGTTCTGTAGATGTCTATTAGGTCTGCTTGGTCCAGAGCCGAGTTCAAGTCCTGAATACTTTGTTAATTTTGTGTCTTGTTGATTTGTCTGATATTGACAGTGGGGTGTTAAAGTCTCCCACTATTATTGTATCGGAGTCTAAGTCTCTTTCTAAGTCTCTAAGAACTTGCTTTATGAATCTGGTTCTCCTGTATTGGGTGCATTTATATTTAGGATAGTTAACTCTTCTTGTTGCATTGATCCCTTTACCATTATGTAATGCCCTTCTTTGTCTTTTCTTGACCTTTGTTGGTTTAAAGTCTGTTTTATCAGAGTCTAGAATTGCAACCCCTGCTTTTTTTCTTTCTTTCCATTTGCTTGGTAAATCTTCTTCCATCTGTTTATTTTGAGCCCCTGTGTATCTTTGCACGTGAGATGGGTCTCTTGAATACAGCACACCAATGGGTCTTGACTCTTAATCCAATTTGCCAGTCTGTGTCTTTTAATTGGGGCATTTAACCCATTTACATTTAAGGTTAATGCTGTTATGTGTGAATTTGATCCTGTCATTATGATCCTGGCAGGTTATTTTGCACAATAGTTGATGCAGTTTCTCCATAGTGTCATTGGTCTTTCTGTTTTGGTGTGTTTTTGCAGTGGCTGGTACTGGTTTTTCCTTTCAATATTTAATGCTTCCTTCAGGAGCTCTTGTAAGGCAGGCCTGGTGGTGACAAAATCCCTCAGCATTTGCCTGTCTGTAAAGGATTTCATTTCTCTTTCACTTTTGAAGCTTAGTTTGGCTGGATATGAAATTCTGCATTGAAAATTCTTTTCTTTAAGAATGTTGAATATTGGCCCCCACCCTCTTCTAGCTTGTAAGGTTTCTGCAGAGATCCACTGTTAGTCTGATGGACTTCCCTTTGTAGGTAACCTACCTTTCTCTCTGGTTGCTCTTAACATTTTTTCCTTCATTTCAGCCTTGGAGAATCTGATGATTATGTGTCTTGGGGTTGCTTTTCTCAAGAATTATCTTACTGGTGTTCTCTGTAGTTCCTGAATTTGAATGTTGGCCTGTCTTGCTAGGTTGGTGAAGTTCTCCTGGATAATATCCTGAAGTGTGTTTCCCAACTTGGTTCCATTTTCCCCATCACTTTCAGGTAAACCAATTCATCATAGGTTTGGTCTTTTCACATAGTCCTGTATTTCTTAGAGGCTTTGTTTGTTCCTTTTCATTCTTTTTTCTCTAATCTTGTCTTCACACCTTATTTCAGTAAGTTGATCTTTAATCTCAGATATCCGTTCTTCCACTTTATCAGCTTGGCTATTGATACTTGTGTATGGTTCACAAAGTTCTCGTGCTGTGTTTTTCAGCTCCATAACGTCATTTATGTTTCTCTCTAAACTCGTTACTCTAGTTAGCACTTCCTGTAACCTTTTATCAAGGTTCTTAGCTTCCTTGCATTGGCTTAAAACACACTCCTTTAACTCAGAGGAGTTTGCTGTTACCTACCTTCCGAAACCTACTTCTGTCAATTTGTCAGTCTCATTCTCCATCCAGTTTTGTGCCCTTGCTGGAGAGGAGTTGCGATCATTTGGAGGAGAAGAAGCATTCTGGTATTTGGAATTTTCAGCGTTTCTGTGCTGGTTTTTCCTCACCTTCATGGATTTATCTACCTTTGATCTTTGAGGCTGATGAACTTTGGATGGGGCTTTTGCGTGGGGGTCCTTTATGTTGATTTTGATGTTGTTGCTTTCTGTTTGTTAGTTTTTCTTCTAACAAGCAGGCCTGTCTGCTGCAGGTCTGCTGTAGTTTGCTGGAGGTCCACTCCAGACCCTGTTCGCCTGGGTATCACCAGTGGAGGCTGTAGAACAGCAAAGATTGTTGCCTGCTCCTTCCTCTGGAAGCTTCGTCCCAGAGGGGCACCAGCCTGATGCCAGCTGGAGATCTCCTGTATGAGATGTCTGTCAACCCCTATTGGGAGGTCTCTCCCAGTCAGGAGGCACTGGGGTCAGGGACCTACTTGAGGAGGCCATCTGTCCCTTACCAGAGCTGGTGTGCTGTGCTGGGAGAATCCCTTTTTATCAGGATCAGCTGCTCTCTTCAGAGCCAGCAGGCAGGAATGATGATATCTGCTGAAGCTGCACCCACAGCCTCCCCTTCCCTCAGGTGCTCTGTCCCAGGGAAATGGGGGTTTTGTCTGTAAGTTCCTGACTGGGGCTGTTGCCTTTCCTTCAGAGATGCCCTGCCCAGTGACGAGGAATCTAGAGAAGCAGTCTGGCCACAGCCGCTTTGCTGCACTGTGGTGAATTTGCCCAGTCCACACCTCCCAGCCTCCTTAGCACTGTCAGGGGAAAATTGCCTTATAAAGCCTCAGTAATGGCGGATGCCCCTCTCCCCACCAAGCTCGATCATCTCAGGTCAACTTCAGACTGCTGTGCTGGCAGTGAGAATTTCAAGCCAGTGATTTTTAGCTTGCTGGGCTCCGTGGGAGTGGGATCTGCTGAGTGAGACCACTTGGCTCCCTGGCTTCAGCTCCCTTTCCAGGGGAGTGAATGGTTCTGTCTTGCTGGGGTTCCAGGTGCCACTGGGGTAGGAAAAAGACTCTTGCAGCTAGGTCGGTGTCTGCCCAAACAGCCACCCAATTTTTGGCTTGAAACCCAGGGCCCTGGTGGTATAGGCACAGGAGGGAATCTCCCGATCTGCAGATTGCAAAAACTATGGGAAAAGTGTAGTAACATGGCCGTGTAGCACAGTCCCTCATGGCTTCCCTTGGCTAGGGGAGGAAGGTCCCCCAGCTTCATGTACTTCCCAGGTGAAGCGATGCCCCACCCTGCTTCTGCTCACCCTCCGTGGGTTGGACTTACTGCCTAACCAGTTCCAATGAGATGAACTGGGTACCTCAGTTGGAAATGACAAAATCACCTTCCTTCTGTGTTGGTCTCGCTGGGAGCTGTACATAGGAGCTGTGCCTATTTGGCCACCTTGGCCCCTCTCCTGTTTCTAGTTCTTGAAGGTGTAAATTTTGGTTGTGAATTTTAGATCTTTAATCCAATCATTTACAAAAAATTGTTTCTTAGCACTGGTTTTCTTTATCTCATAATTTTTTTGCATTTTTTGCATGTTGTGTTTTAATTTTCATTTTCTCAAGATATTTTCTAATGTGATTTTTCTTTCTAATATTTTATAATGTGATTTTTTGACCCAGTAGTTGCTTAAAAGTGTTGTTTAATTTCCACATATTTCAGAATTATCAAGTTTTTTCTACTTTAATATATAGTTTCATTCCATTGTGATTGCAAAAGATATTTTGTATGATTTCATTCGTATTAATTACTATTAGTTTTATGGCCATATATATTATCTATCCTGCAGATATTTCCATGTGTACTTTGGAAAAATGTGTACTCTTTTGATCTCGCGTGATATGTCATGTATATGTTTGTTAGATCCAATTGGTCTATAGTGTTGTTGAAGAGCCATATGTTCTTTTTTCTTTTTTTTTTTTTTTTTGAGACAGAGTCTCGCCTTGTTGCCCAGGCTGGAATGCAGTGGTGTGATCTTGGCTCACTGAAATCTCCACCTCCCAGGTTCAAGCGATTCTCCTGCCCCAGCCTCCCAAGTAGCTGGGATTACAGGCATGTGACACTATGCCCAGCTAATTTTTGTATTTTTAGTAGAGACGGGGTTTCACTATGTTGGTCAGGCTGGTCTCGAACTCTTGACCTCGTGATCCGCCCGCCTCAGCCTCCCAAAGTGCTGGGATTACAGGCGTGAGCCACTGCGCCCAGCCAAAGATCTATATTTTCTTACTGATCATCTTTCTGGTTCTAGCCATTATTGACAATGGAATATTGAAGTCTACTATTTTTGTAGTACTGTCTCCTTTCAATTCTGTTAATGTTGGCTTCATATATTTAGAAGCTCTGATATGTAGTGCATGTATGCTAATAATTATATATTTTTGGTGAATAGACATTTATCAATACATATTGTCCTTTTTTGTCTCTTGTAACGTTTTTTGGTGTAAAATCTATTGCTTACTATTAGCATAGCTATGATTGCTTTCTTTTGGCCACTATTTGCATGGACTATCTGTTTTCACCTTTTATCCTTCAACCTATTTGTGTTCTTACTTCTAACATGAGTCTATTGTAGGCAGTACATACTTAGTTCCTGGTTATTCATTCACTATGCCAGTGTAATGTCTTATAATGTCTTATAATTAAGGTGTTTAATCCATTTAAATTTTAAGCAATTGCTCATAGTCAGGACTTACTATTACCACCATATTATATTTTTTAAAAACTCTCTTTCTTCTCATATGCACCACGAATTGCGTCTGACCTTTTAGAGTATAGGTGACTTTTCTAATGAGATTCAGAAAATAATTTCCACTTGTCCATTTGGCATTTCTACCTGTATGTTCATTACTCTTGAAGTGATTTAAGTAGGAAAAGAGGATGCTACCTTTTAAATTTGTTTCCATTATTTAACTAGAAGAGTTTGTTCATTAAAACATTATACTCCTCAGACATGTCACTTAACTCAGGTATTATGGTACTCTCTTTTGCAAATGTGAGTCCTCAAAAATTCATTAGTGTACTTTTAATTCAACAGATATGTATTGACTTTTACCCATTACATTCTTGGTATTGTTCAAGGTACTGAGTATATCACAGTGAACAAGACAGAGGAAAGCTTCTGCTCTCATGGAGATAGACAATAAGCATAATAAATCAGTAAGTGATATAGTGTATTAGAAGATGTTTATGTGCTGTGCATAAACTAGAGAAGTGTAGGTGGGAATAGCAGTGCCACTTGGGGGTGGGTGATTTGATGGCTTTTGGGTAATAAGGGTTTAGGTACTTTTGGGTAATAAGGGTTTAGGTACTTTTGGGTATATAAGGAAGACAGATTTGGATCATAGTGCCAACAGAGGAGCTATGAATGAAATTAGCATAATTATATTATGATATACAGATGATATTTGAATTTTCTTTATAATGTAAGAAATATATTATATGTCTATTTTATTTATTTATTGAGTATGATTCCTAGCAACAGATAACTAGCTAAATAAACTGCCTTTCTCTTAAGCTCAATGCTAATTGAAAAAGAAATTAAAGCCAGAATCCATGTAGGACAGTGAGGAATTCATGACTATCAATATCAGGATCTCCTTTCAGAGAGCATCACAAAAGTGTGCTGATAGACATGATGAAGGAAAATAAGGAAAATAAAAGATTCTTAGGGGAGGGAATATGCTATTTTTTGTGATAAGCAACTCCTGTTACTTCTCTTTGATAGGTACAGGATTATAATCTAACCCTCAATTTTACCCTGTTTTGAAGAATATGTTTTAAAGTGAGCTTAAATAATACAATATAAAAATTGACTTCTTCAAGTGGCGAGAGCACTCAGAGACGCGACGTGGAGCTGGCGGGTACCGAGCGGGTGCCTCAGTCTCCTTCCCCTCCCCTCGCCTAGCCTTGCCGTCTTCTCCCCGCAGATGGACCGGAACTATGTGATCCCGGAAGTTCTAGGGCCTTTGCTGTGTGTGGGATAAACGGTCATGGCGGAGGCTCCAGCTCCCGTGACAACAGCCACAACATCAGGAGCAGGAGACGCAGCGGCAGCAGCCACAGCGGCCTCCCGCACCCCGATCCCCACAGTCACTGCCCCATCCCCAGTGTCTTATTTGTACAATGTATTTTAAATGAGGTAGCAATGCATTATAAGTATTTAATAATTAGCTTATCAATTGTTACATTATATTTGTCTAAAGTTTGAAAACCACTAATTTTAAGCATGTATCATTGATAGATCATCAAAAACTATATTATTAATAGAACATTTATTTTCAGCTAAATTGAAGAGACGTAGCAGGGTAATAAGGCCCAGCACTTAGATTTGATTATACAATTAAAAATATTTTACACCATAAATGACTATTCATTAACTAGATTGAATCATCTGACTCAAGTTGGTATGTCAATCAAATGAATTTTCAAATGTTTTAAAATAATCATATATTCATACATTGATACTAGGAGATAAAAATATGTTTTAGAGACTGCTAAAAGGAAGGCAAACTTTTGCCCTTACTCTTAGGGTTTTTCTGCTGGATATGGGAATTAAACTGACACGAGACAGGTCAATAGAAGAAATGTATACATATTTATTCAATACAAGTTTTACATGGCATGTGAGTCTTCATAAATAAGGAAATGAAGACCCAAAGTCGCAGTTGGAGTTGAAAACTTACATGCTGTATTGGACAAAATGTAGTAAATTGTGAAAATGTAACAAGGCAAAGGGGTTTGGGCTACAGGAGTTAATTGGGTAGAGTTGTGACTAAGAAGATAAGGTTGGTTTAACAAAGTTTGTACAAATTTCCCTCAGTCTCAATTTTCTGTCCTCGAAGACAAGTTTTCTTGCCTTCCAGTACAAAGAGGATATCTTTCGCATGGGAATTTCGTCTCCTGCTGTTAAGAAACAGAATGAAGGTCAGAGTGAACTTCTTGCACCTGCTGTTTTTCAAATGCCTTTAGCTCAAAATAATTCTTATGCCAAAGAGCATATTCTGGAATGATGTGTTTTAAAATCCTTCACTGCATTAGATTTCAGAGTAAGAAAGGAGCGGAATATAACTCTTAAAAGGATGCTTCTGAATCTTAAAATCTCTGAGAGAAATTAGGAAGTAGGCTTTTCTTGAATGACGCTGAGGTATTAACCACTTCGATTTTTTTAAACAGCTCATTAATAATCAAGTAATTATATCAGAAAGATAATTAGATGTGATCCTTAGAAATGTGCCTACATATTTTAGTGTAAAACTAAAGAGTAATGCTTTACTGAATTAACTGATTTTTTAAACAGAAGACAGTGTTCAAACAAGTGAACTGTATTCATTTACTTTCATTCATCTAAATGAAATTGTATCCTATTTTTCTAAGACTTCACAGCACTCATCCTTTTCTAATAACCAATTTTGCACCGCAACTCCTGTGGCAATTAAAAAAACAATAATTTACTTGCTTGTAGATGTTGCACTACAAAATGAGACATTTTAAAGACCAAGGATGCATGTTCCTATGAGATTGTTTTGAAGTTTTTATATATAATTATATTTAATGAAGTGACTGGTTATAATTTCCATGGTTTCATATAGTCTTTATGTTGTTTTTATTGCATTTTCAAAACCTCACTTTTATATTTGTCATTTTTTTTCTTCAGAAATGAATCATGGAACTTTATATTTTCCTGGCCATTTCTCTTTTTATAATATGAATTTTAAAAATCAATAATGCAACCCTTTAAAAAACATTTACCAAATTTTAAATTTCTGAAGATTATTTTCAATTGAATTATGTGTAACTCACATTTTATCTTTTCCACCACAGAATACTGCTTCAAGTTGCCTCAGTACAAGTTTGTTATCTTAACATTTCTCTTTTATCCAAAGACGATTTATCCATTGTCTCCCAGAGAGTGCTCTTTGTCTCCAGATATTTGCACTTAGCATAGTAATAGTCAGGAAGACCTTTATCAATACTTTAGAATATCAATGAAAAGTCTTTTTTTTCCTCCTAACAAATGAATATTAGATGTGGAAGCTTCACAATATGCCACATTTCTGGTATGATAATTGATTATATTTGTTTGAAGAATGATTCTTCTGCAACGTGAGCTTTTTGTTGGTTCAGTTGAAAATAATAGAAAGATCCTCTGGATCTGAGATGTGTTCAAGTGTAATAAGCAACATTTAACAAATGTTACACTGTTGCCATTTAACAAATGTCTTCGGAATTCAATTGAGCCAGGTTTTAAAGTGATAATCCATATCACCATGTGTGAAATGTAATTCAGATCTTGTTTATCCATATTTAAATTGTGTATAAAATTTATGAAAATGTCCAAAGGCTTATCAAATTGAATTATTAATTACTATCTTGAAATTATTGCTGTCAAATCAATGATTTTTGTTGATATTATATGAATATATGGATAAGCAAACTTAGATGTGATTTCTTCATAATACATTGGCAAGGCAAAATTTTTAAAATGTGCAGTTAATGAAAATTTATCCTAAATATTTGGGATTATTAAATATAAAATTAAACATGCAGATTGTTAAGGGTTTACCTCACTTACTTTTTAATCATTCCATTCATTTATATATATATATATATATATATATTTTTTTTTTTTTTTTTTTTTTTTTTTGAGATGGAGTCTTGCTCAGTTGCCCAGGCTGGATTGCAGTGGCACAATCTCAGCTCACTGCAAGCTCTGCCTCCTGGGTTCATGCCATTCTCCTGCCTCAGCCTCCTGAGTAGCTAGGACTACAGGTACCCACCACCAAGCCTGGCTAATTTTTTTTTGTAGTTTTAGTAGAGACAGGGTTTCACCGTGTTAGCCAGGATGGTCTTGATCTCCTGACCTCATGATCCACCCTCCTCGGCCTCCCAAAGTGCTGGGATTACAGGTGTGAGCCACCGAACCTGGCCCATTCATTTATATTTTTAAGAATTAGTTTATGTTTATATGTATTTTCAATTATTACCTGAAAAATATTTGCTAGTAGTATCTAGTTAAAGATTATTGCATATTTAAAGTGTTTACCTGTTTACATGACTTTTAATATTTTTTTTGTTGTTTCTTTGTTTGTTTTTGAGATGGAGTCTCACTCTGTCGCCCAGGCTGGAGTGCAGTGGCTCAATCTCGGCTCACTGCAATCTCCGCCTCCTGGGTTCAAGCAGTTCCCTGCCACAGCCTACCAAGTAGCTGGGATTACAGGCACCCGCCACCACGCCCGGCTAATTTTTGTATTTTTAGTAGAGACAGGGTTTCACCATCTTGGCCAGGCTGGTCTTGAACTCCTGACCTTGTGATCCACCCTCCTCGGCCTCCCAAAGTGCTGGGATTATAGGCGTGAGCCACCGTGCCTGGCCTTGTTTTGTTTGTTAAAGGCAATTTTTTAAATAACCTGAGAAGGAAATTAAGAAATATTGATGTGCTTAGACTTTTGAAAAGCACTGTGCATATGTGAATGCATGTGCATGTGTGTGTGTATTCTTCCTACCATCAAGATATCTTCTTTATGCCCTTCTTTCCCCTATTAGGTCTGAGCTCATATTTGTAAATGTATATATCACAACATATTTTGCTGTTATTTGGATCAGAGAAAAATCTGTTTCATAAAATGTACCACAAACTGACATGTCAAACTTGTTTTAAAAAATCAATTGCGGGGTGAGCAACTGTCTTTAATTTGAATTTATCCCGTCTTTTATGACCAGTTTCCAACTTAGAGTTTACCCTCTTAACATCGAGTTACTTGTGTTATTTTCTCAAAGTGATGTAATTATTTTGCTTTTGCTTCATTACTGCAACAAAATTTAAATAGATTCATAAATAAGCAATTTTAGAGGAGCATGAAAACTAACAAAATGTAACAAACACACTGAAGAGATTTGATGATTTTCATTTTCACGAAGCTACTGAACAAAAAAAATATCCAGCAGCACTAATATACAGCAAATTCATCTTTCAACAATAGGGCTAACTTAATTCTTTGTGCCATATGTCTATTAGGATTTTAAGCTGCTTGGTTGTCTGTGATCACTAAGTGAAGGTGAAGTCTAGATTAATAAAACACATTTCAAAGGCTGATGTCAAAACAGAAGCAAATGTTCGGAGTGCGCTACTCTTTCTTTAGGTAAAATAAATAGCACCTGATTCTTCCTCTTTTCAGTATCACTTTTTGCAAAAATAAATAAATAAATAAATCCTGTACTTATTTGTGACAATAACTTAATGTTCCATTATGTTTAATTTAACATTCTTTAAATTTAAACATTATTAGCTAATGGCAGTTTTCAAAGTACCACCAGTTCTAACTCCTGACCCTTATGTCAGTTACTAATGAGTCACTTGTGATTTACATTAACATTTGGAAACATGATCAAAATATTTTTTAAAAACAGATAATTTTCCAGTAAGGAAATATTCTATATAATTGCCAGGTACAGTTTTATAGATTCTATGTGTTAATTACTTACTGAAGAATTGTCAAGGTGTAAGTGGAAAGGACAGAAAGGTATCATTTTGAAATTTAATAGGAACTTCAGAGAGCTAGAGACAACACTAGTCTTTTAAAATTGTAAAATATGACCTACTGTATCTTGTAGGATGTAATCTTTTCAATTTGTATATCTTAAATAAACCATTGAATGCACCTCAGAAATCAGAACTTTTGGAAGGCTCATTGCATTTAACATTAGTTGAACTCAGTATTGGACCTAGAGTCATTATACTTATTTGGGAATATTTTATTATGAATGAAGGTGCCCCAACACTACAGTTTATAGAGCTCTTAAGCACAAATCTCTTTTAGCAATATTTTTCCTTCAATGCCATGAGATTCATAGCTCTAATTTTAACAGTCCTATGATCCAACTTGTCTTCATTGTAAATAAAAGCAAAATTTTGTATTATGAAGGCTGTACCAAGCAATAATCAATTCTTATTAAATAGAAAATATGTGATTCCTTTATTCACACAAGCATATAATCTGAAAAAAATATTTTTACTGATTTTATTTTAATCCTTATAGTACCATGCAATTGTCTTAGTTTTTCTTCAGAACAGCATCACTCTAGTATGATCAAATTATCCACAGATAATTTCGTATCTGTGAAGCTCCCCCATCCCACGTTTTTTCATTATATTATACCATGGCCATCTCTGTGTTAATAATGTCATCACTAGATCATATGTATCATTTATCAAAAGTGAGCAGGAACACATCCTGAATGCAAAATCATTCTAGTAATAGCAACTAATTAAAGTGAATTAAAAGTGAACTGATTAAACTGTATAGTTAATGGATGTAGTGGCTTGAAAATATAAAATTATATATATATATATCCAAAGACAATTCATCAATTTTGCCAAGTAAAAGTGAATATATTCTTGTTTCAGAATTGGTCTCTTATTTTTAAGATAATCCTATGACTTTTGAATGTTATAGAATTTAATTATTCAGCAGAAAACAAATTGTAATCATGATTTCTCTGATCAATACAATGTATTTTTGATCTACAAAGAGGGTATATGAGCAATAAAAATCCCAGAAATGTTGCCCATAATGATTTCAAATGCCTTAGAATGATTATTATTATAAATTTAGAAAGATATTTTTGTGTAGATTTATTTTTGATTTTTACGAAAAATAATGATTTTTGAGAGTTTTTATTTCATAGTTTCACGGTAAGTTGTCTTGTTTAATGGTCCTCTAATGAGTGTCAGGGTAAGAGATGTGATTAAATATAATATTGTGGCAAAAGGAGATGTCTATAGAATAAAAATTGTGAAATAATCATATTCTAAAATTGTTCTAATTAGGGTAGTCTGACATCATTAGAATTTCATTACTCTAATATGATCATATTAAAATGCCAAAAAAAGAGTCTATTATAAACATATTTAGAAAACTTAATCAGCATTCCCAGTTTTCTCTCATACACACATATAAATATATATGTTTCTGAAATTATCAAAGAACCATGTCTTAATCTGCTCAGGCTGCTAGAACAAAATGCTATTAACTAGGTGGCTTATAAACAACATAAATTTATTTCTCAGAGTTCTGGAGGCTAAGAAGTCCTAGATCAAGTTGTTGGCAAATTCAGTGTCTGGTGAAGGCTCACTTCCTGGTTCATAGACAAGGAGGCATCTTTTCACCGTGTACTCACATGGCAGAAAGGGTAAGAGATCTTTGAAGTCACTTATATAAGGGCACTAATCTGATTTATAAGGGATCTACCCTCATGACCTAAGCACCTCCCAAAGGCCAACTTCCAGATGCCATCACATTAGTGATTATGTTTTAACATATGAATTTTAGGGTGACACAAACATTCACTCTATGGTAGACCATGTGGCTTAAATAATCTGAATCTTACTTCGGACCTACTAAAACAGAACAGAATATTTGAATTTTGAAACCCAGGAATTTGTGATGGCAGTGGCGGCTGTCTGGAGTGGCCACTGCCATGACACCAGCTGCAGTGGGGGAGGCGTGACCAGGGTTGCATGCTCCATGGA
The DNA here is from genome assembly GCF_000001405.40 of Homo sapiens. NCBI lineage: Eukaryota > Metazoa > Chordata > Mammalia > Primates > Hominidae > Homo > Homo sapiens. The sequence goes on from NC_000023.11 coordinate 92,379,079, forward strand.
GCCTGTGGGAACCAGGAACAGGTGGGAGCCCCACCTCCTTCTGAATTGGAGGGGTGAGGGCCTCGCCCTCCCAGGTGCAGTTGCAGGGGCCCAGCTGGGACTGCTGCCCCAGGTATCCTGTGCTCTTGGGGACCCAGGAAGCCCTCCTGCCCCAGCAGGCTTGAAAGAGCCTGCACCTGCTGCTTGGCCTCTCAGCTCTCCAGCTGCCCATTCCAATTTTGGAGCAAAGTTGAGGCCAAGCCTGGGCACTGTGGCAACCTGGTGGGATGTGTGTGAGCTTTTGGCGGTGCTGACATGCCTATGGCTGCCTCAGCCCCCTCCAGACTTTGACCACCCACAAACAAGGGAGGGAAGCAGAGGGGGTGCTGAGGGCAGCTGGGCATGGGCCTGAAGGTGCCCTTTGGCATGAACAGCCTGGGTGCCATAGATGACATGATTGATAGTGGGTGCCATGGGTGACATGATTGATAGCGTCAGGAGGCATAGAGGCTTCTGCTCAGAAAAGGGCATGTCCCTGGTGAAGTCCCACCTTCCGGTCAGAGAAGGCCTGAAGCCTGGGGGCCCGTTGGCCAGTTCCTCAGACCAGAGTGAGAATGCGTGCTTTTTCTGGCCTGCCTATGGCTGTCCATGGACCAATCAGCATGGACTTTCTCCCGTCTCAAGCCCATAAAAACTCCAGGACTCAGTGAGAATTGGACAAACGACAGATGACCTAACTGCTGTTAGGAGCTACCCACTCCGTGTCTTCTGAGAGGTGCGCTTTCACTCAACAAAGCATCTCTTCACTTTGCTCACACTCCAATTGTCTGCATACCTCATTCTTCCTGGACACAGGTCTCAGGACCCACCAAATGGCAGGACTGAAAGAGCTGTAACACAAACAGGGCTGAAACACCACCCCCCCCACCCCAACTTGCCACGTTGGGGGTGATGAGGATAGAAGAGAGCATAAGAGAAGAGCTGTGCCCTTTGGGGAGCCTGGACCTAGGAGCTCCCTGAGCCAGGGCTGTGACACCCTTTTTGGGGCTCTGTGGGTCCTGGCATCTCCAAGATTCCAGGTGCCACCATGTTCCCTGGTGCCCAATTCACTTGCAGTACAGTTGGTTCAGCTGCAGCCTTGCAGGGATCCAGTGCCCACGCTGGCACCTGCAGCTGCCCACCTCACCACAGCCAGTGTACCTGGTTATGCGCAGTGGCCGGAACTTGTGCTTGCTCACTCACACACCCCTCTCCTCCCTGCATTTGACTTGCCTTTGGCAGGCATGGGATCCGGGCTGGTAGTGAGACCTGAGTGCAGCCTGCCAAGCCGAGTGGGTGGAATAAGCCCAGTGGGCCCGAGCAAAACTCGAGCAAAGGCACCATCGGCCACAGAGGTTTCTGTCTGGTGAAGCAACACCCCGAAGATCTTGTGACATATGCATGATTAACAAATTAACTAGGTGATTTCTACGTAGCTGATGTTTTGAAAACCACTTGATAGCTACTGGTTGCTGTAGCTAGCTATCAATTTTATCCAAATTTTCATTCCCTTATCTAATTCCCAAATGTTATGAAAGGCAACAAAAGTAGTGTTACAAAAGGTCCAAATAATATATTGGAGGTAAATATATAAGATTGATTTATGGGTTTTAGAGTTGGAGACTATATCTTTCTACTAGTTTGTATTCCCATCCTCAATTTAGAAATAATTAAGAAGTATATTTTTATACCTTTTTAAGAAAAATGAAAAGGACAGTGCCATATCAATTTACTCCTTGGACCATAGCATAATGATCTTTTTTTTTTTTTAATTCTTTAACTTGTCAGTCACTTTGAGGTTATTTTTAATACCGTGTGTGTGTATGTGTGTATGTGCGTGTGGAGTATGTGGGTGTGGTAGACAGTATATAGAGATATTTTTGTTTGTATGGAAAATAAGTAGAGGGGAGTCTGCTTTTAGAAGAAATACACCTCTGTAGAGAGATCCACAAGTAAAAGACTACAGCAACACTACAGATATTAGTTGATTACAATTCCTCCCCACAACTCCACCCACAACTATATTTACCACAACGTTGCTTGCTACTATCTTCCACACTGGTGAATATTATTACTGGAAGATGCAACTATTTTAATTTATTATTTGATTATCTATGATGATTATAGAACTTCAATGTTTTTTAAATGTAAGAAAAGTTTAAAGGAAACATTGGTCTATTCATCTTATATTAATTTCCAGGAAGTGACACATATTACAAAGCAGCAATTGTTTTCCATGTGCTAATGAACACCAGGTAAAAAAGATGAAACAAACATGTTTCATATACACCAGAATGGGTCTAAAACAAATATGTTACCACTATCCATAAACTCAACACACTAACGAAATTGCTAGCATACTAGCCGATGTGTGCATTCTCCAATTTTATTAGGAATACATTCTAATAATTATTATTTAAAAACTGATATTTATTCACCATCATAACTTTTTGTTGCATTTTTTACTAACATTAAACAAGAAATATTTTGATCCAAGCGTTTATGCCATTAATGACAATGCCAGGTTTTTCCTCTTTCGTTGTATGCTACAAAATTATTCCAACATCTAATCCAAGTCAGAAACCATCTGTTGCTTGAATGACATTTGGCTTGTTTAAAATGTATTAATTAAACAGACATGTTGTGTAACTATGGCAAAGGGAGAATTATTTTGCAAATATAAAGGAGTGACACCAGAGATGAAGCAGTGTTCAAACCAAACTTGTGGCTTATTTTATGGAAACATATTTTCAAATAACAACTAGAAAAACTTAACTATTGACTAATATTCTTAAAAATAAAATGATTATTTGGATCATATGTGATCCATGGTTCCATCATCTCCCAAGTCTATTTCATCACTGACAATGGAGTAAGTAGTTTAGGTTTGATCTTGTTAATTATGCTAGTAGACTACAGGGACAAAAATGAAAAGGGTTAATATACTGAGTAATTACAAATCATTTGGCTAAGAGACAGTACCTATGGGAAAAAAATGCAGAAATCCTCTGACTTTCAGAATGAGGTTGTTTACTATTATAAAATGTGGGAACTTGGAATCTTAAAGTATTCTTAATAGTTTGAAATTCAAAAGATTTTATACGTAAATCAAAAGCAAACTTGCATATGGTAATCCTTAGAAAGTAATGACCCTACATATGATTACTCTTTCTAATCAGAGTTACTGGTGATGACAGTGAATCTAAAGGAAGATTGGGTTAGAGTGTATTAGGTTTGAACTCATGGCGTGTGCAAGGTTGTATAAGTAATTCTAATGAGCCTTCTCTAACATGATACTCAAGTATTCTATAATTAGAATCACAGGGTCACCTATCTGCATGCAGCCTCTTTGGTGCCAGATTAACCTGTCCAAAATGCCACTTGCATCATGTTGTGAAATGTAAAAATATTTACCTGATAATTACTATGAAATGATGCCTTCATGAGGTTTAATGGACACAAGAATGCTGGGGATTTGATATTTAGTCTGTAAATGATTTATGTGAATGACACCAATATAATTTCTGGGTATTGTTGTGTTCTGGAATTTTGATTCATTTGAGCTAAAAATGAGGTGTGTGGATTTTAGGGAGAGGTATCCTGTGCTATTTCTCTCTGCTACTGGCAGAAAATAACTAGCTTTTCAGGGCAAATATTTATTCATGAAAACGCCAGGATTTATTTCCATCCCATAAAGTCACTGTTCCAGTCAATAGATTTGTTTTAATTTCTGTGTCACAACTTCTCTGCAGGGCTACAGACAGAAATTTGTCATGAACAAATTATGACATGAATATTAATGTAGTAGCCCTTTTATACTGCACAATAATTATCTTTAACCAGCTTTTCCATATTGAAAAATTAGCCTTCCAGATCAGAGGTCTTCAAACCATGGCCTTTAGAGCCAAATGATGAAGAAGTTCAAGCAAAACATTATATTTAATAATACATAAAAGTACCTAAATTTTAAATTTTAATGTCCATAAGTACAGTTTTATTGGAACACAGGCAGGCCCATTCAGTTTCATATTGTCTATGGCTGTTTTTACACTTCAACATTAGGGTTAAGTAGTTGAGACAGAGACTGTATCATATGGCCCACAAAGCCTAAAATATTTACTATCTCATTCTTTACAGAAAAAGTTTGCTGAACCTTCAGTTTAATGGTTATAAGAGGGGTCCTAGAGGATGATTAGTTTATCATTCTTAAAACTGTAGATAAATGTTTTTTTTTTTTTTTTTAATTATACTTAAGTTTTGGGATACATGTGCAGAACGTGCAGGTGTTTTACATAAGTATACACATGCCATGGTGGTTTGCTGCATCCATCAACCCATCATCTACATTAGGTATTTCTCCTAATGCTATCCCTCCCCTAGCCCCACACCCTCCAACAGGCCCCAGTGTGTGATGTTTCCCTCCCTGTGTCCATATGTTCTCATTGTTCAACTCCCACTTAAGAGTGACAACATGCAGTGTTTGGTTTTCTGTTCCTGTGTTAGTTTGCTGAGAATGATGGTTTCCAGCTTCATCCATGTCCCTGCAAAGGAAATGAACTCATCCTCTTTTATGGCTGCATAGTATTCCATGGAGTGTATGTGCCACATTTTCTTAATCCAGTCTATCATTGTTGGACATTTGGGTTGGTTCCAAGTCTTTGCTATTGTGAACAGTGCCGCAATAAACATACACGTGCATGAGTCTTTATAGTAGAATGATTTATAATCCTTTGGGTATATACCCAGTAATGGGATGGCTGGGTCAAATGGTATTTCTGGTTCTAGACCCTTGAGGAATCGCCACACTGTCTTCCACAATGGTTGAACTAATTTACACTCCTACCAACAGTGTAAAAGTGTTCCTATTTTTCCACATCCTCTCCAGCATCTGTTGTTTCCTGACATTTTAATGATCACCATTCTAACTGGTGTGAGATGATACCTCATTGTGGTTTTGATTTGCATTTCTCTAACGACCATTGATGATGAGCTTCTTTTCATGTTTGCTGGCCGCATAAATGTCTTCTTTTGAGAAATGTCTCTTCATATCCTTTGCCCACTTTTTAATGGGGTTGTTTGTTTTTTTCTTGTAAATTTGTTTAAGTTCTTTGTAGATTCTGGGTGTTAGTCCTTTGTCAGATGGATAGATTGCAAATATTTTCTCCCATTCTGTAGGTTGCCGGCTCACTCTGATGATAGTTTCTTTAAATGTTGTAAATTTTTTATATATTATGAATTTCTAAATAGATCCAACAAGCTATTGACAATGTTTTAGTTAGTTTATTTACAAGAATGCAAATGTAACCACCCAGTGGGTTCACCTTGCCCGCTGCCTAGACAGAGCCGATTTATCAAGACAGGGGGATTGCAGTAGAGAAGGAGTAATTCACGCAGAGTTGGCTGTGTAGGAGTCCAGAGTTTTATTATTACTCAAATAAGTCTCCCTGAGCATTTGGGGAGAGAGTTTTTAAGGACAACTTGGTGTGTGAGGGGAAGCCAGTGAGCCAGGAGTGCTGATTGGTCAGTGGTGAAATCGTAGAGATTCAAAGCTGTCTTCTTGGGCTGAGTTAGTTCCTGGGTGGGGGCCACAAGATCAGATGAGCCAGTTTATCGATCTGGGTGGTGCCAGCTGGTCCATCAAGTGCAGGATCTGCAAAATATCTCAAGCACTGCTTAGGAGCAGTTTAGGGAGGGTCAGAATCTTGTAGCCTCCAGCTGCATGACTCCTAAACCATAATTACTAATCTTGTGGCTAATGTTAATCTTACAAAGGCAATCTAGTCCCCAGGCAAGAAAGAGGTCAGCTTTGGGAAAGGGCTGTTAGTGTATTTGTTTTAAACTATAAACTAAGTTTCTCCCAAAGTTAGTTCAGCCTATTCCCAGGAATGGACAAGGACAGCTTGGAGGTTAAGAAGCAAGACGGAGTTGGCTAGGTTAGATACCTTTCAGTGTCTCAGTCATAATTTTGCAAAGGCGGTTTCACAAGGGCTTATTTAGTACTCTGAGACTTTAGAGTTGAAGCAACTAAACTTTTTATAAACTTTTATGAAACTCTGCTTTTGAAGAATAGAGTATTGATGATTATTTCAGTAGCTCCCTACTAAATATCTTTAGTACTAATAAATAATAGATGACTGACAGGCTAGGTAATCCATGTATTTTAATGCCCTGTAATTCAGGGTAACATTCGGATTATGTCTCTGTAGAGGTGATCAGAAGACGACCTGAAGCTTTTATTTTCCTCTTTTCACTGTGGGTTCTAGATACAAAGACAAACAGAAAAAGGGATATTGACTAGGCAAAAGCATACAAAAAGATATTTCAGTTACATTATTTCCCTGATAAATGCTTTAAATCTTAGAAAATACAGTGTGGTTTAATCAGATAATACAGTCAATGTCACTCTTCACAGCTTCCACACAACCTAACACTCATCCCCCAAAAAACTAAAACCAAGGCTGGGTGAGGTGGCTCATGCCTGTAATCCTAGCACTTTTGGAGGCCTAGATGGGTGGATTGCTTGAGCTCAAGGGTCGAGACCAGCCTGGGCAACATGGTGAAACCCCATCTCTACCAAAAATACAAAAAATTAGCTTGGCGTGGTGGTGTGCACCTATGGTTCTAGTTACTTGGGAGGGTCGCTTGAGCCTGGGAGGTAGAGGTTGCAGTGAGCCAAGATTGTGCCATTGCATTCCAACCTAGATGACAGAATGAGACCCTGTCTAAAACAAAACAAAACAAAACAAACAACAGCAAAAACCCCTGCCTTCTGAACTCCTCAATATTACTTAGTTCCAGCAAGCTTTTCTTTTATTCAGTTTATTTTCTGCTCGTACTAATTCTGCTAAGAGTTACCTTAACCAACACCACCCACTACTCCCTCTGAGAGGCCCAAAGGAATCCTGTCCGGCTGTTACACTTACATGTAGAAAATCAGCAGACTATTTCTCATTAGAAGAAGTAATTTTATGTTCAGAAACATATTCCATAAGATATATTACATATTACATGCATTAGTCATTTTCTCCTATTTTATTGAGACTTTAATATAAAAAATAATGGCTAAAAACTAAAGAAGATTCAAGTGAGCTACTTAAATATTTTATGCATCTATTATATTTTCATATATCTTCCAATAAGTTTGAAGTATGATATTCAAATCTTTTCATAGCTCCATCTGAAGAAATGGCTGACTGTTAGACCTGAATTTGTGAAAACATATGCATTCTGTTATGAAAATGCCTAGGATGTAAATTCTTGTGATCTTTGATATATGCAAATCTCTTAAATAAATTATACCTAATTTGAAGCTTTCATGCTGCCAGTAGTTTAGTGCTTTGGTTGATCTATTGTTACATAGCAAACCATCAGTAATCTTTGGGGACATAAAAATCAATAGTCCTTCTTAATTTTTAGGTCAGGAATTTAGGTAGTGTACAGCAGATATAGCTATTTCTGCTCCACAATGACTGCTGCCTTAAGTAGGGGGTGCTCAAATGTCTGAAGATAGTTAGGATGACTCCAATAAGGCCACCAGCTGGAATGTTCATAATGGATTCTTCATGTACATATCCGGCACCTGAACTTGAGTGGCTGGAACAGCTGGGCCTCTCTCGGCATTGTAGTCTCTTTTTATACAGTCTTTCCACGAAGCTAGCTTGAGCTTCCCCACAGTATGGCATGCTCCCAGTACTCAAACTACTTTCAATGCAGCTGTAATTTTCCATGGTGAGTTTTCCAAGGGTGCAAAGCAGAAGCTACAAGGTTTGATTACAGAGTCTGTGCAGATTCAATGTGGTCTCAGGCTATTTGAAAGTCTGAATATCAAGAGGTGATGTCCATTGGGGAGCCTATTTTTGGAGACTACTACATATAGCATAGCAATGCTGCAAACAAAAATGCTGCTACAAGATCTGGTGAAGATGTTACAAACTTCTTCTTTCGGAAACCAAATGCTTCATCTTTATCTTTTTATTTGTATATATATTTTTATATTCTGCTAGGAATACCATTTATGATGATAACTATAATTTGTTTTCATAATTGCCATAAACTGTTATCCATATTATGTAATTACCTTTTTCTTAGAAAGTAAAATCAATGTAAATAAATTCCAATTCAAAATTTTGTCCCTAAGATTCTTCTAAAAGATGATGTACTTTTAGTTTTCTAAGCCTACATGATTGAATAAATTTGTGTTATTATTCACAGTTTCAGCTCACTAGCAACTTACAGATACAGCAAAAAAGTATGGTTATATTTATCCACACTTATTATTCAAAAAATAAGTTATTGCCAAATAATACCTAAATAAATACATGTTAAAATTATGATTGGAATTTCCAGTTTGCTCAAATATGCTATAAAGCTGACTGTCTCTTGCTTTAGAACAAGTTTACTTTCATTCTGCATCTGGCTGTGCCTTGTTTCGAAATATAATGGAAGCAACACTGCCTTCAGGTGAAGAAGGTTTGAACACAGAATTGTGTTATTCACAAAAGCCTGAAATTGTTCACAACTCAAGATAATGTTAATGTGTCTTCACCAGATAGCCGAAATAATGCATTTTCTAAATTGCAGCATTAAGCAATTATTCAGATCATATCTGAAACCCTGTAATTTTCATTCTCCCTTTCAGTCCCAGCGGCGTGTCACATTTCACCTGCCAGAAGGCTCTCAGGAAAGCAGCAGTGATGGTGGACTGGGAGACCATGATGCAGGCAGCCTTACCAGCACATCTCATGGCCTGCCCCTTGGCTATCCTCAGGAGGAGTACTTTGATCGTGCTACACCCAGCAATCGCACTGAAGGGGATGGCAACTCCGATCCTGAATCTAGTAAGTGATACCTCTCTGGTTCCTCAATATAAACGGGCTTACTGTGTTTGCAACTCAAGCTATCATAGCCATAATAACATGGGCTAATTCATTATGTTATTGTGAATAGTGACACATTTTTGAAAGGTAAACATACAGAATTAGATGGATGGCAAGTATAAGGCAGTTTATAATATTTTAAATGTGTGATCATAACTACGCTGAATGAAATTTATTATAGCGACTTTGTTAAGGCATAGATAGAATTTTCCATTTATGTACACCTGTATATTTATTTGTATATAAACAGCCAATTTATTTTATTTTATTCATTTATTTGTGAAGGTATAAATTTTTTCTTATATATAAAAATTATTTTCTAGATTTTATTTTTATTTTTAGTAGAGATAAAAACCATTGACAGTTATTTTCTTTCTGAGGAAATAAGAGATCCTGACTCCAATGTAGGAGAGGGCATCTGAGGTTTTCAGCAATATACTGAAATCACACACCTGTGCCATGTTACTGTTTAGAAAGGTATTCACATTTGGTCTTCAGACAGAAGGCACAAAATCTGTGTTTTGCAAATTCCAAAGATGTTGAACTCTTTAAAAGGATCATAGAGTTGATATTAAATAAAATTTCATTAAATGTATTATCTTGAACGTGTAGCGAACAACCTTGCTGATTTATAATTTCAGGAAATACAAAATTTGATAAGATATATATTTCTCAGAAGAGTCTTGAAATTGCAAGAAGCTACAATTTGCTCCATTTATGTTATGTACATAAAAGTATGTAGATACAAAAAAGCATACAATGTATGTGAGAAAAAAGTCATAGCCATAAACCAATATGAAAAAAAATGGGCCAAATACCTGGCAAAAACATAAATAAGGTAATATAAACTAGACATTTTGAAAGGTTATTTTGAGCATTATGGATTGCAGGGATGTATAATTCAAATAAAGCTTCTAGGCTTTAGAACAAAATAGCTTCCCTATCATTGTATTTTAATCCTCTATTTTTGAAACTTCAAAAAATAGGGAAATGGATTGGCTAAACATTATGATATAATCTAAGGCTAAACATATGGAACCAATGACAACATAACATCAACTTTTTCTCTCTACAGATGTAGATGCTATATATTATAGGTATTTTTAATGTAAAAATATTAGAGACTTTTGAGTCAGCAAGTTCAGACAGTCCTAAAAATCTACTATCTCCATTTTCAATTTTATACTTGGAATAAATGATCAACATTTGTTCTGAAGATAAAAAATTCCCCTATACCTTGTGTCACTAAACTATCTTTAATTTACTTTGTTTAGTACAGCAAAATGACTCCTGGTAGAAATACATAGTTGTGATTATATTTACTTGTGTAATGAACTAAGAGCTAATCTCTAATAAGAATATGATCATAAGTAACAAATACACATTAAGCAAGGGTGCCACTGATCTTCTTTACTCCATAAATCATTGTTTTAGTTGTAGGTCTATCATGCCCTGTTAAATAAGAATATAGAAATGGGATAAGTATCATTTTTATAAACTAGAAAGAGTTGATTCATTTGTACATGACGTGTTACTAAGCCTCTTTCATAGAGGATTGCATAGCAACAATTAAAGAGTAAACTCAGAGTAAGCATCCACAGTGCACATCTCACCCTGAAATAAAATTCCAACTGAATGAGACTCAAATGGAATACTGTTGATAATAATAGGAGAATTGGTATGTGTCAGAAATAGTAAAACATTTAACATTAAATATAGCTTTATTAATCCCAATTATATTTAGAAATAAGTAGTTGTTTTAAAAAGTATTCAAATGCATAGTTCTTAACAGAAGCTGATCTTGTTTATAGTTAAGGATATAAGTGCTAGCATCAATGTATTAGCTGATATACTTAGGGGCTTTTTTTTTTAAAAAAAGGGTGCTTTCTGTTAGGAGCTAAACATTTCTCTCTTCTAATTATATTTACACTATTATCTTGAACATTAAATATCTTGTTCATATTTACTCTACAGGATGAAGGACTCACAAAATTTGCATTAAAAACTTTAGTTGCTCAATCGATTTTATTTTAAAATCTAGATGTCTGTGGGCAATGATAATAGTAAAGCAAAGTATATATTTTGCTGCTTATTATTTTAATAAACTTATGCAAAGGGTAGATATAATTAAAAATGAATGCCCATTTTCTACAAGTCTAACAATATTGTTAAGTGAATGTTTAAATGTTATTTTTTTACTATGAATAATACTAAGAAACTGCTCTCCTACTAAATGTGAAACCTCCCCCCTAAATCATGTTCCAAGAAAATTTTGGTTAGGAGTTTTGTTTTGGGACAGTCAGAGACCTTACTAAAAGTGCAAGAAGCGCAATAATTTACTTGAAATGAAGCTCCATTGTCTTAATGTGTCACGGTAGTGAAATGTTTAACATAGTACGTGTGTGTGTGTGTGTGTGTGTGTGTGTGTGTTGTTTTAATTAAAAAGAAAAAACATAGCTGGTTTAGAATTGGCCATAGCAAAGTATTCTCTTTAGGCTAATACTGATGATAAGGTATTTTGATTCTTCAAAAAGCAAAGCTATAGCTCTGAAATAGCACCCAATAATGGGTTTTATGATATGGAGCAGATGCCAATAAACTGTGCAGTGTTTGTCAATAGCACCACTGATAGGAATGTAAAGTGTCAGAGGAAATAAATGCTGTCCTTAAGCAATGGAATTAATTTATGCAGTTCCCATTTCACATTTTGAAATGTATTACATCTTCAATCTGCTTTCTTTCTTGCTAGTGAATTGCCAAAATAGCACATAGTTCTGCAAATCCTTTGTAAATTCACAAAACAGGAATAAACATGACATTTATGAATAAGGGTATTCTGTAAAATTTGCTAGAGGGATTTATTAATACTGCTTTAAAAATATAGTTCCCTGGTTGATAAAAATCTGCTGCTTAGGTGAAGAAATCACACAATTCATTCTCTTAAGTCTTTTGCCAAGACTATTAACTTTTCTTTTTAAAATACAGAAAACAAACTCAAGCCAATTATTACTCTTTGAGGAGACAAAGTCAATAAAATATCCTGTCTCATTCCATCTGAAGACTTTGTAATTTTTAAATTTTATAATTGCAATCTCTTTACTGTGGCCATTGGACTAAGGGTCACTTAATGCCATTCTATACAGTTCTGTCTTCCTTGGATGACAGCTTATATTCTAGACCTTTCCTCCTACCATAGCCTCATCAGATTATTTACAATGAACCCTGCTCTTTGAAGCTAGTTAATTTGTTAAAAAGCAAAAACAAAATAGAAACCCAATTCAAAAACAGCACTATTGATTGCTGCTGGGTTACTGTGGATACTGGAACAGATAATGTCCGCATTTTCAAAGGATTTTCTTGAGACACATTCATGGAGACACATGTGGCCCTGGTAAAGAACAAGTTGTGAGTCTACTTTTGAGGATTTTACATATCCAGGTATAGTGTTAACTCAAAGATTTGAGGACAGTGAGATCCTCTTGGGACTACTGTAAACACATTAAACTATGTATGGCCCTATGTTCCTATCTACTTATTTTTAAGTAGTCTCAGGTAAAATATGATTTTTGAGGATATGATTTAAAAATGCTTTCCAATTTGTTTTCTAAATTTTTTTTCTGTTTTTATGATTCAGACTGAGTTCTGAGACATATAGAAATATTAGCAAATGTCTACACATTAAACTTCTGAGATTTTTTAATACTCTATGTTTATGAAGCCAGGGTTTTTATGTTTTGTCCTCAAATAGAGAATGCATTGCTGCTATTTCACTATAGGTAAGTTGGATCTAAAAGGGTAACTACTAATATTTTTACATTTCTACTGATCTGCTGGCATATTATAATTTTCCAGCTTCATTGGAAGAGATAAAATAGCCATAATTCTTTGGAAGATAAATGGAGAAATAGAGTATTGCTAAAGAGGCTCAAATCAGTCTTCAGCTTTCTAGTCATAAATCAGTTCAATTGCAGAGAAAAATCCCCCTAAAATGAAGAGGAGAATGATTTAGTTTATATCAGTATTTTAATTTTCTTCAACTGAACAAGTTATGTCATCTGTATTTTTTAAAACCTCTTCATTGTATGTGATCATTTCACGCATGAAGTCACTCTATCTGAAAATGTTATAGCTGGTCTAGTGTCTAGCATTGAATCTTAAAGTAACAAAATACTTGAGTGAAATTTCTTCATCTTCCCCCAAAAAAGTTAATGCTTTTCCTCTTTTTGTATACCATAGTCATTTCTGTGATACAAAAGAAGAAAATATAGAGTTTCAAGAACATTTAGGGCTAAAAAATTATATGTTTAAAATAAAGATAAATATATGTTTTTATTAAAATGATGTCTGCTAGAGTTTATCTCAGGTTAGCAAATCTGTTTGACATTCATTTTTATTTCAGTAGATCAGGTTTGCTTAGCACTCAAATACACTACTAATTAATTCACAACAAGGAAGTAATTAATCTTTCCCTGGCAAGGCACTTTGATTGATCTTCTACCAGTAATCTAATAAATTGGTATAAAAAGTGGGAGACCAATTTGATTGACTAGAATGAATTTCTACTCAGAGAAATGCCAGATTTTCTCCTGATCTGCTAAGAGTATTGACATGAATAACACTAGGGTAATTACTAGTAAGTGTTTGAACATCTCATTATTTGAATATCTAATTCTAAAGGTAGACTACTGGTAAAATTAAAAAATCAAAACCAAAAACTGTGAAACTTTAAAAGAATAAGCTAGTAATGGGTCATTAAAACTCAGCCTTTCATAATTAAAAACATTAGGAGTCAGTTGTCTAAAAGCAAAATAAAGCCATGGAAATATTTTTCCCTGGAAAATATTGATATACTAGTACCTTGGGGAAAGCAGTGATCTAATTATTTATCTAAAAAATTCAAGGAGAAAATATGATTCAATTATAGAAAAAAGGAGTAGTATTGGTTAGTATATTTAAGAGAAGAGTAACACTTCTGATGTGGCAGAAAATCATCTGAGTCCACAGTTCAGCTAATGTTACCCGTATAACTGTTAATTAAGTGTTTTTGTTTGCTGCTATATGCCCAGGAAAATTTGACTCCATGGGCTTTCTAATATTTCTTTAAAATGCATTTTTGACGAAAGTCACATATCAATTCATGTATTACAATAAAAAGAAAAGTGAATGCATCATTTTGTTAATATTTTTACATGAAACAAATGGGAAATATATTCCACTTAACAAAAAGAAATTATGCTCCCTTTAAAGGTTAATTACGTAGCAAGGCCAATTCTGACTCTGTAGGCTATGTATTTGTAAGATTATTTCTTAAAACTGTGCTCAGTAGCCTATATAATAGTGTCAGTCCATGGTAGAGAGGGGGGAGTAAAATAATTTAAATCAGCTCAGCAAGCTTAATGTCATGTGTTTTGAAAAATGAATCAATCAATATTTCTAAGGAGTGATGTTATCATTATCAATGATATCAGTTATGGTCTATTTCAAGAAAGAGGTTGAACTCCATGGCCCCGGGTTCTGGAAATATAGGACATATGCCTGCTCTATTTCATTGCCTTGCCAACAGAAAACAATATATAGCTTTATGCTGCTACTGAAAATTTAAAAATTTCCTTAATATTTATTAATATTTTTAAGGTAACAATAATATCAAAGTCACTTTTATTCTTTTTCAAATGAAATATCATTGTAATAATTGATACTGTCTATGATTATTACCAGTTTATTTTAGTCCCTGATGTGTTATGTAAATAGTGTTAGAAAAGTATCTATATATAAATAGGTTATAAAGAATGGTTCCACCCAAGAGTTCAGCCATCTGCCATTGTTTTAGAGAGAATAAGGTATACTTGGTAGTGACAGTAGTTTTTATAATAAATGTGCTTAGGCAGGTATAAACAGTGATCTGATAGCAGATGCTCTGTGACGTATATTAATTTTACCATTTAAACTGACGTGCTTTTCAAAAGTAAATCTTTCTCTATTGAAGCTTCTGAAAGTTTATAAATACATTATAATAAGAAAAATGGGTAAAACACGTCTTACGATACCATCCTATCATATTCAACTTCCCTATATAAGAGATGCAATCTCAATGTAGACCAATTGAAAAATGACTGCTAATTTGGAGTATATAGGCTTTGTGAAGGCAACAAAAGCTTTATGCTAGAGATAATCTTTAAAAAATTATAGAGGTCATGAATTAAAATGAGAAGTGTATCTTTAAAGTTGGAGACTTGAAGACATTTACAGGATTTTATTTGGGTGACAGTCTCTAAGACGAGTGTATCTTTAATATCTTAAATATAATATGGATTAGATAGAGGTTGATCACTCAAAAGCAGGCCACTATAAGTAAAGCAATCTCTTATCTTGTCTTTTCTGTTTGAAAGTGACAAGCACTAGGAGACTGGCACAAGCTGCCAATTGAAAGCCAATGCCATAGGTCTGGAATGTCAATAAGCTTGAATAATCACCTAAAGTGGCAGAGAATAGGTGGCCTTCTCTTCACAATAAACCTTCTCTTGCTTCTAAATTTTATTAAGCTTCCTACACCAAATAATAAAGGTCATTTAACATTTGTGTTTCTATAATTTATGAGCCATGAGGCGATTCATTTTATGACAACATTCTTTCTTCTGCTTTTTAAAAAATCTTACTTCTCACTTTCCTTTGCCTATAAGACAGACTATTTGCCATTTGTTATTTTTTGAAGTTCTTTGAAAGTCAGTATAATCAGTCATTCAAGATGTAGCATTTGGGTGACTTGGAATATTTAGTAGTGTTAGCCACACATCAACTTCTTATTTTAAAATGATTTATAAATTTTAATGAGTGAGGAGTATTATAGCAACATATTTTTAATCCCCATGACACTTTTAAAATTGTACAATAACTTGCAACTCTCATGATTGCTTTCATCAACAGAACATTCAACAACTGGTGAATATATCAAGGAATTCATTAAAAAATGAATAACTATAGACCATCTGTCTTACCATGATTTCTGTGATTTTTTAGTTTACATTTTATTGAATATTGAAGATGCTCAATAGAGAATAGAATAGAGATAACAGTGTTCGCTTAGCCAATTTTTTCTCTCTCTTAATCAATAATCTTAGAAATTGTTTTCCCAGTTCCACTAGGTACATGGTCTTTATCTGGCACTTCTTTTTTTAATCAATCTTATATTGGAAATGTTTGTATGTTATCTAAACAAACTTTTTCTGAATAGTGTATATGAAATAAGCCATTAAAAGTTTATTTTTTTCTTAGAAAATTCTTCTCTTGCAATTTGTATAGACCTGAAAGGCTGGTAATTTTAAATATTATTTTGGGGTATCTAATTATATGATAAAAATATTTGAACATTGAATACGAATTTTTATTGCGGTAATTCTTTGTGTAATCACTATTCATGAAACCTTTTCAGCACAGACCATTGTAGATAATTTGTTTTAGGCAATCATCTTACGTATTACAGAACTCTAGTCCGTTTACTACAATTAACTAGCTCTGTGAACTTGGATAGGTCTTTTAACCTCACTGTCTCTTTTTCTTAATTTATATAATGAAGGGATTATACGAATCTCTAGTGCCCCTTCTAGGGTCATAATTTTGTAACTATTAAAATCCCAGAATTTACATGTGCAGGTGTTGCCTTTTACATTGTCTTTAAATTCTAGAGCTCTAAGGGACCTTGGGTGCTATTTAGTCCAGCTCCCTCATTATGCAAATGAGATAACTGAGATTTGGCCCTTTTAAGCAACAACTTAATGTTCTAAATTAAGTTTTGATGTGTATCGTTTATCGTGTTCTAAAATAAGAGTCACTAATGTTGGTAAGCAGCTACTTTTGAAATTTAAATGAAACAACTCATGAGAGAAAAGTAGTATAAAATTTAGCATTATCATCACTCAAGGGGACTGTTACAATATATCCAAATGGAGAACTTTTTTATATGTGATGAGGCCCTTTTTTTTTTTAAAAAAGGTTCCCATTTTAAAAATGCCCTGGAAGAGCATTTGGAGCAATACAGACTGCCGATTTCTAAAATTACTGTTTGTGCTAACCAGTGAAAGTACTGCAGAAAAAACTGTAAACATGCTGAATGATAATGATCTCTATGTCAGGAAAACTAGCCACTTTTCACTATGCTTATCTAATGTAGTTAAATTGTGTGTACGTGTGTGTATGATTACTTCCAGAACAACTTGGAATTAAAAAATGAATTTTAGAAGGTAGATTTCCTTTGAATATGATGAAAAGTGCATAAACAGAATCTCCAGGAGGAGAAACGCAGAATATGTGAATATATCTTTTATGCATTCTGCTGTAAACTCAGCTCTTCCTCTATATGAAATTCCTGTGTAACTCTATGCTACTTCTACTTTCCAGAAGAATGAAGTCTCAGTTAACAAGGAATTGATATTCATAGACTCAATCGACTGAGTTAATAGTGTGCCATATAGTCAAAATGTTTTGGGTAAACCCTATTATAATAGTCCTTTTTGGATAATGATTAGAACTTGAGATGAAAGCAGGATAACTTTTATAGTTATATAAATGTCCTATAAAAGTTATCCTGCTTTTGGCCGGGCACGGTGGCTCATGCCTGTAATCCCATCACTTTCGGAGGCCGAGATGGGTGGATCACCTGAGGTCAGTAGTTCAAGACCAGCCTGGCCAACATGGTGAAACCCCGTGTCTACAAAAATACAAAAATTAGCTGGGCATGATGGTGGGTGCCTGTAATCCCAGCTACTTGGGAGGCTGAAGTGGGAGAATTGCTTGAACCTGAGAGGGGGAGATTGCAGTGAGCCGAGATGGCACCATTGCACTCCAGCCTGGGTGGGTGACAGAGGGACTCTGTCTCAAAAAAAAAAAAAAAAAAGTTATCCTGCTTTCCTGCTTTTATCTCTAGTTCTAGTTCTAATGGATTGAGCAGAGTACAACTCCTTTTCATCTCTAGTTGTTTATCCTAGAGATGAAAAGGAGTTGTACTCTGCTCAATCCATTAAGTTATATGAAGTTTGTCTTACATATAAAGTCTGTTAGCTTTTATTTATACTAATAGATGACATCATAGAAATTGATGCTCTGGATTAAGAAAGTCATGCAAAAATAAAAATATTTTGAGAAGAATACTTGATCATCTTGAAAATAGCATTAGTTTTATAGGACAATATTATTGAAGCATGTAAAAAAAACAGTGAGTTTTAATTAACTTTTAGAAGATTCTACTCCTACTCCTTGGCTTATCAATAGTGCATTGCAAGGTTCACTTGGCTCACTATAATTTTTATTTTAATGATGTTGTTTTCCAGGGCTGAGTTTAGACTGTGATTTCCTTAGATTTATGCATGTAACTTAATCTAAAACTGAACCTGACAATTTTTTCTAACTGATTGTTCCATTTAACTGTATTCTGTCTCTTTGGAAAATGTGTGTCCTCATATTGCAGAAATGCCTCTTAAATTTGATTTGAAGAAGGAGTCAATTTTTTTTTTTTGGGTGGGGGGACGGAATCTCACTGTCACCCAGGCTGTAGTGCAGTGGCGTGATCTCAGCTCACTGCAACCTGGGAGGAGTCAACTTTACAGAGGTACATACATGTCTTCTACATTCTTTTAAAGAATGTAGCTAATTAATCTGATTTTTAAAGACTAAGTTAAGTATTAACAAGGAATTCAGGGATCTTTGCCTCATTCAGACTGTAGTTACAAGGACAGAGTACTCATTAGAGATATTTTTGATATATGAATGCACCAAAGGCATTCTCAGTTGTTGGATAAATCATGTATTTGATTCAGCTGTTTGTGTTTGTTTTCTTCGTTCAGATAATCTTCTATAAAAGCTACTTTTACTAGTTTAAATCCATTGCAAACTTTGCAGTAATAATGTTTTCTAATTTCTCTTCCCCCAGTTGATTATGAATTGTACTGGACAGAAGAACAGGATACATTGAAAAATTTCACACAAATATGTTTTTATTCAAGTAGAAAACTGGAGTTTTAGGATTTGACCCAAATTAAATCCAAATATTGAAATTTCAATTCAAAGTGCCATAGTATTGAACTATTAAGTCTTCCCTTCTGAAATAACTAGCCATTACATTTTTGCAAAACAGCTTAACTTCTGAAATATAATATCTGAAATCCAAATATCATGGCGAAAGATCTTAAACAAACTGAGCCCAATTCAATACCCATGTAACTTTGGCAAATATCCCCTCAGGGTTTCAAAGGATATGAACTGTGGCTAAGTAAAAAAACCTTTCATCTAGAAAGATCCCATAATGCCCAACAGTCTGAAGTGAATCTGTCTATGTGTTAGTACTCAATACAGGGTAAAAACATACTGCTTTCAGGGCAGAGAATTGGAATTTCACTGCATAAGGGAAATTTATCATACGCTTGAAACTGAACTTTCAGAGCTGCTTTAGCAATACTATTTTTTGCAGAAAGAAAAAAAAAGTTGACCTTCAGAGACCTTGTTTTCAAAAGACCATGAATTTCTTTGTCTGCTCCCAGAAAGATTTTTTTTTGAAATCAGAGAATTTTAATACCCATAAGATTTTTAAAATACATTAAAATGTAAGAGATGCAGATATGTTTAATTCTCTTATATTCTGTTTCTTTCTTAGTCTCTTATCTACAAAACACATTTTAGTGGTTATTAAAGTATATAAGACTAAATAACTCGTTATGAAGAGAAGCATTCTATTGGAGTGGGACCAGATTGCCTAGAATAGAATATCAAGTCTGCTCCTTCCTAGTAGTATGACATTTGACAAGACATTTAGGCTTCCTGTGCCTCAGCTTTGTGCATCCTTAAAATGAGAATAATAAAAGCAGTTGCTTTGTAGCATTGTTGTATTAAATGAAAGTGCATGTATTTGTCTGCATATATACATATATTTACAGCATTTAAAAATATTTTAGCCGGGCGTGGTGGCTCACGCCTATAATCCCAGCACTTTGGGAGGCTGAGGCGGGCGGATCACGAGGTCAGGAGATTGAGACCATCCTGGCTAACACAGGTGAAACCCCGTCTCTACTAAAAATATAAAAAATTAGCCGGTCGTGGTGGTGGGCGCCTGTGGTCCCAGCTGCTCGGGAGGCTGAGGCAGGAGAATGGCATGAACCCTGGAGGCGGAGCTTGCAGTGAGCTGAGATAGCGCCACTGCACTCCAGCCTGGGCAACAGAGCCAGACTCCGTGTCAAAAAAAAAAAAAAAATTATAAGATAATCATATTCTCACACAGCACTTTTCAGTTTCAAATGCATACAGACCACCTAGAAATTTTGTTAAAATGCAAACTCAGCAGTTGGGTGTAGGGACCAGAGAGTTTTCATTTCTAACAAGTCCCCAGGGTATGTGAATGCTGTTGGTGTGGGGGCTACACTTTGGGTAGCAAAGTTCTAACAAATGTGCTTAGCAGCTGACCCAGGTAAAGATGAAGGAGAGCAGAGCAGCAATTGGCCATGATAAATTGAGGCATTAAAATAACTCATGACAATCTGTCCTAAAGCCTCAAACACATTGTATTATATTTTAAGATACATAAAATTTTACCATACTGGAGTTTGTATTATAGGGACTTTGAGATAAGTCTCATAGTAAAGTGCAGAAAAGCATTATAGAAAGTTTCGAAGGTCAGTGCATATTTGCTTGATTCTTCAATAAAGAGACTTTCTCTTCTTTCTGTATATCTGTCCACACACACAAATGTGTACATGCACACAAAAATCCACACATCTTATTTGTATTTATTTATTTATTTATTTTGAAACGGAGTCTCGTTCTGTTGCCCAGGCTGGAGTGCAGTGGCGTGATCTCGGCTCACTGCAAGCTCCACCTCCTGGGTTCACGCCATTCTCCTGCCTCAGCCTCTCGAGTAGCTGGGACTACAGGCACTGGCCACCACGCCCGGCTAATTTTTTTTTTTTTTTTGTATTTTTAGTAGAGATAGTGTTTCACCGTGTTAGCCAGGATGGTTTCGATCTCCTGACCTCGTGATCCGCCCGCCTCGGCCTCCCAAAGTGCTGGGATTACAGGCGTGAGCCACCGTGCCCGGCCTTTTTCTGATAATTTTTATTTGAAAAACAATGCACTCCATTTATACGTCACCCATGTCATCTAGGTGAATATAAATGCCGTTTTTATTTTAGGTGTTCAACTATAGACAAGCTCTTCATTTCTAGGAAACTGATCAGAAGAATAACAGGGCAGATAGGGCATTAGCAAAGCAGAGTACCAGCTGCGCTGTCAACTAATCAAGTCAGCAAACATCTCTGCAGGTGAAGTCATTGTGATTCCTATTAACTCAAGCAGATTAAGAATTCTTCTGGATCATTGCTAGTGTTGAAGTGTCAACTTTTGCAAACAATTATCAGACTGGGAAAGGTGAACAAAGGAAGCCAAGAAAGTCACAGGAAGTAGACAAAAAAGATGCAGATAAGTTTTCCATTGAATGTGGGGTGCTGGACTGTTTTATTTGACCACTTTTGCCTATATCCAGAAGAATTTGTTTGTTGTGTATGCAATTGAGTCATAAAAAAGAAACGTCCTGTTGTTAAAGTTCTCATAGTTTTGGGAAACATATTTGCTTAGCTATTCAATGTGGATATATTCTATGATAGGAACTTTAATTAGGTAACTGCTGATTATGTGTAAGTTTTATTTCTTTTTTTTATCTCATTGCTTACTTATATATCCTAGTTTAATTCCAAAGAGTGAAAAAATATTGACTGATTATTTGTTCTTGCATCTTTTTTAATTATCACCATTCATTTTCATTGCAATCTCCTTCTCCCAGTATGTTTTATGAGGCTTTGTGCCTTGAGTGTAATGGGCATAAAATGAAGGGAAGTCTATGTTTTTAGGATGCATGATGTTTTCTGAATATAGATGCTTAAGGAAATTGTAGGCAGGTGTGTTTTCATCTCTCACACTATGTGGCTTTTTCTATTCCATGGTAGGAATCAAAGATAGCCAAGTTAAGAACATTGTGGCTCATTGGAATTAGAACTTCATGCAGTTTAAAACTGATTATTTTATTTGTTTCAAATTATTTTAGCATTCTCAAATTAACCATCCAAAGTTTCCCCAGAGATGAATAGTTTCACATCTTACAATAGCACCAGCAATAATAAATATATAGTCAAAATTTTCCTTTTTTCATATTTAAATGTACAGGCTACTTTTTGAGATGTTAGAAAAAGTAGATTGATAATGTGTCATTGCAAACTTATAATCAGGCTTATTGTCACATAGGCATAAGCACAAATAAACATTCCTCCTCAAGGTGTGGAGGAATATTGAATATATTGAAGATGAAGCAAACTAACTCTCAACAGGAAGGAATAATAGTATACTTGGCATTTTTATAACTCCAAATCGTCACGGAAGTAAAACATTTTTAATATTACATTTTTTTCTTGTGTAGACATGGCAGCACAATTTTGTTTTACTTCATCACAAGAGTGTTTCATTGCAAATTTTAAGAATATTTTTATAATTTTCTTTACAATGGCTGTATTACATGAGACCAAGCCATTTCATTGTAATATTTTAAGGTGATTTATTGCCAGTAACCACAAGGCAATATGCCACCTTTTATTAAAAAATTCCACAGGAAGCATAAGGACTATGTTTTTTAATCAATGCAATTTGTTTTAAAGGATTTTATCTTGAAGTTAGTAAAGAAACTTCTGTACATCTGGAATGCTGAATGTCCTATCAGACTTCAGCCTGTGCTGATTTATAACAAGTAATTATCTAATGAAGATAGTGTTAGGCAAACATGAGGGTTCTGGAAGCAATAATTTGAAGTTTTGAAAAATTACTATGGATCAAATGATAACGCTTCATTTGTATTCTGCTTTTTTGTCCTTGAATCTACGTTTTTACTTTAAGCAAATGTAAAAATGGCTTTAAAGAGATATAATCATTTTTGTGAAAAAGTAAATGGCCTTAAGCTGGTTACATGAATTAATCCTTCATGTCCTTTACTCCTTTCTGCTTTTGAAGGAAAGATTAATTCCGTTATCAAATTAACACGTGCACAAATATTTGGTACTGTATATTCAGTGGAATGAATATGATTAGAAAAAAGGGGACCTGATATACAGTCTAGGTTCTGTCAATAACTCTGTAACCTAGGTGACACAAACAAATGGAAAAGCATTCCAAGCTCATGGATAGGAAGAATCAGTATCATTAAAATGACCGTGTTACCCAAAGCAATTTACAGATTCAATTCTATTCCTATCAAACTACCGATTACATTCTTCACAGAACGAGAAAAAGGCTATTTTAAAATTCATATGGAACCAAAAGAGAGCCTGAATAGCCAAGGCAAATCTTAAAAAGAACAAAGCAGGAGGCGTCACACTGCTCTAATTCAAACTATAGTACAAGGATCCAGTAACCAAAACAACATGGTACTGGTATAAAAACAGGCACATAGACCAGTGGAACCGAATAGAGAGCCTAGAAGTAAGGCCACACACATACAATCATCTGGTCCTTGACAAAGCTGAGAAAAAGAAGCAATGGGGAAAGAACTCCCTATTCAATAAATGGTGCTGGGATAACTGGCTATATGCAGAAGATTGAAGCTGGACCGCTTCCTTACACCGTATACAAAAATCAACACAAGATGGGTTAAAGATTTAAATGTAAAACCCCAAACTATAAAACCCTGGAATACAGCCTAAGCATCCATTCTCGACATAGGAACTGGCAAAGATTTCAAGACCACAAAAGCAAGTGCAACAAAAGCAAACATTGACAAATGGGAATCTAATTTAATGAAAGAGCTTCTGCACAGCAAAATAACTATCAATAGAGTAAACAGACAACTTAAACAGCATCTATAAGGAACAACTGCTAAATTTCACAATTGCTTCTTAGGCAAATACAAGACAAGTAATTAACATTGTATTTTCAACTATGCATTTGTTCTTTTATACGTGTTTATAATTTCATATATTTGCCAAAAGTGTGTGCGTGTGTGTATATATATGTATATATACCAAAGATTCTAATTGAAGATGAATAGTGCATTTAAATTATGGAAATTTTACTACCTTGCCTCTTGAGATACTGATAATGGAGAACTTCCAGAACAAAAGAATACAACGAATAAATGATAAACCAAAAATCACTGATAAAATACAAGAAGCTCATCTTAAATTAGTCTTAATTATTAATTTTCACCTAGATCTTCACCTTTAAAGTTTTCAAAACTCCTATTTTGTTTCAAAACATCATGAGTTGTTTCATGTGTCATTACTGTGTGTTCTGAGTATCTGTTTATACGTGTGTACTGGGATATGTGTCCGGGCATTTACGTTTTTTTTTGTTTTTTTTTTTTTTTTTTTTTGTAGAATGTGAATCTGCAAGTCATTTTATGCATATCTCCTGGGGGTTTAAAAATAAATCTCTTCTTTCTGCTAAGTCAAGTTGTAAATATCTCGTTTAGTCTGCTACTACAGTAACTCATGAAAAGAGAAAGATTGCTTTTCAATATTTTACCTCTGTCCTCATTTTATGTCAGTGACTGCTGATTATATGTAGTATTAGTGAAACAGAAATCAGCATGGAGCACTTAAGTTGCTTTTCAAATAAAGTTCTTCTTTCAGCGTTTAGTTTCCCAGAAGGCTTTTAATCAAGGTTATGGGAAAGTCCATAAACTTTCTGCTGAATATTTAACAAGCTGGAGGTCACTGCAAATGTGTTTTTTCAAGGGCAAGGGAAATGAGATTGCAATCAGGAAAATAGAAGACCTGATAATAAGCAAAGCTTTGTCTTCTGGATAAAATCTAACAAGAAAATCAAAGTGACTCACATTTTCAAGTTTCCTTGTAGGATTTAAAAATTTTCCTAGTTTGGATCATCATTTTCAAAATGGTAAATAGGACTGAGTAATTCATTTGAGTCCAATTACTATCTTATCTTTAAGAAGATGGTTGGAATGAGTTCTGCAAAATGGTGATAGCGGCAGAATATAAGAAGACGTCACTGAAGTTCCACTGTTTAATATTAAAAGCATAATTCTTTTGGATAAAAGAAATTTTATAAAATTTACAAATGTCATGTGATTACTATATATTTTGTAAATGACCTAGCCCACCCTCATCAAAGCAAAAACCTCACAAAACTATGTTTCCACTCTCACAGGAATCAAAAGTTATGAAAAGAGATAGGAACAGATTCAAAAATACTTACATATTGTATTTTCTTTTAACATGAAAGAAAATTGGAAGTTTCTTTCAATATTGTCTGTCTACTGAGAATGGTGACAAGGAGTAAAAATAGAAATGCATACTTTGGACTTTCAAAGAAATGTAAGGATATTTGGCAGCTTTAGTGTGGTAAGGGCAAGTTATGATCATGTGTATCATGCCTACTGTGTAATAAAAGAATGAATACATTTTCATTCTATCCTCGTTTATATTCAAATAATCTATGTAGGGAAGTTAAGTCTTTCACTCGATCACATAGAAATGTAGAGTAAAAATTTCACTCTTATCTCCTCTGATTGCTAAATCAGAAAAATTTATACAAGACATTTATCCTTACTGTACCTTCAAGTTTTGATATATAGTAAGAATATCCTACTGTTTGTTATTTATCTTAAAGTTTTATGTGTGGATATAGAAACATTATTCTTTTCTGAAAAGAGAATTTTGACTTTTAAGGAAAAATTATATAGTAGGAGTTCAAATGGATTGCAACTTACCTCCTTCCTGCTTACATAATTTTGGAACTGTTCTAGCAGAGTTTAAGAAGAACTGTGAGGGGTAGGCAATAGGTTGGTCTTTGAGCTTAATCACTGAATTCCACTTCTCCAACCTGTGCATGAGTGAAATAAGCAGGTATTGGAGAAAGGACTTGGCTACATATTATGGAAGCCAACTCTGGTCTCTGCCACTTGGTGCAAGTGAACATATAACTGAAGAATTTTAAGAGACAATAATGGTTTGTTGTGTCTGAGCAATTTTCAATGCATGCAAATCATATTCTATATTTATTTTGTTATTGCCCCTAACACCTCCTACAAAGTAATATATATTG
Organism: Homo sapiens; assembly: GCF_000001405.40. Lineage (NCBI taxonomy): Eukaryota > Metazoa > Chordata > Mammalia > Primates > Hominidae > Homo > Homo sapiens. Next base: position 92,405,055 of record NC_000023.11, read on the forward strand.
TAAGAATGGTTGGGGGTTGTGACTTGAGGAAGTACATATTCATGCGCCATCAGGTTTCCTCCTCTGTGTAATGTACACAATAATACTGCCTACCTCTTTGGATTATTTTGAGGGCCAAATGACATAAGCAATACAATACCCTTAACACCACATTTCACACACCTTAAACAATTTACTGTTAATAATGGATACTTTTCTAATCATATTCAAGCCATGAACTCCCTCCCCATAATAATAAACATTCATTCAAGGATTCACATAGCATTTCACAAAGTCTTTGATCACTTTGGAGATTCAGTTGTCTGACCTAAACAAGAAAGGCCATAGGTATTAGCCTATTACGTTAGAGGAAACTTCATTGACCATTTTGTCTTCTCAGGCCAATCCACTCATGTTAATAAGTGATTTCTCTGGTTGTTTTTAGAAGAGAATTGTTTAACAAAGTTGAATGAGTTCATCAGTCATATAGACAAAGCTTTAGTTGTATTTTTTTTAAAAGTAGCTCTTCTTTTGTTTCCATTGCAAAGAAGATTATATTGGCATTCAGAATAAAGAAGAAAATAAAATGAACCATAATCTCAGTACCAAGATAACATCAGTTATATTAAAAATAAAAGTATTAACATGTGTATACATGGTAAAACATTTAAACACCACTGTAAGATATGAAAGTAAAAGTTAGTGTCTCCCTCAGCACCTCTCTTCACTGCTCACAAACACCTCTTACAACAGATAATTTCTGTTAAAAGCTTTTTCTAGGCCGGGCGCAGTGGCTCACGCCTGTAATCCCAGCACTTTGGGAGGCCGAGGTGGGTGGATCACGAGGTCAGGAGATCGAGACCATCCTGGCTAACACAGTGAAACCCCATCTCTACTAAAAAATACAAAAAATTAGCTGGGCGTGGTGGCGGGCGCCTGTAGTCCCAGCTACGCGGGAGGCTGAGGCAGGAGAATGGCGTGAACCCAGGAGGCGGAGCTTGCAGTGAGCCGAGATCTATCACGCCACTGCACTCCAGCCTGGGCAACAGAGTGAGACTCTGTCTCAAAAAAAAAAAAAAAAAAAGCTTTTTCTGTTTACTTCCACCCAAAATTTGTATACCAACATTTATTTATATGCATATAGATGATTTTAAAATTATTAACCAAGTGAGTATTGCTATACACAAGTGTTGATGTCTTGTTTTGTTTTTCACTTAAAGTATGTCTTGCAGAATTTTCTACATTAAAAAGAATAGATATATCTCATTATTTTAGCGGTGGCATGGTATTCTAATGACTTTGATGGACCATGACTGATTTAACCTGTTCATAACTACTTAGGTAATGTCTAAATTTTAGCTAAAACAGACAATGCTGCAATGAATATCATTGAGCAGAAATTGTAATGCTCTATTACTAGTCTATCTGTCATGGAAACAATGGAATTGTTGGATGAAAAGGAATGTGCAAGTTTTATTATTAAAATTTTCAATCATTAAGAAAAAAGACTGATAATACATAATTGTTTCTATCCTCTAATATTTTCAAAGATTACCATTCTGCCATGATTGTGTCATATCACCCTTTATTATTAAAAATTGAACTCTTGGCTGGGCACAGTGGCTCACGCCTGTAATCCCAGCACTTTGGGAGGCTGAGGCAGGTGGATCACCTGAGGTCAGGAGTTCAAGACCATCTTGGCCAACATGGTGAAACCGGTCTACAAAAAAAAAAAGAAAAAAAATCAGCAGGACGTGGCAGTGGGCACCTGTAATCCCAGCTACTTGGGCAGCTGAGGCAAGAGAATTGCTTGAACCCCGGAGGCAGAGGTTGCAGTAAGCCGAGATCGCGCCACTGCACTCCAGCCCGGGCAACAGAGTGAAATTCCATCTCATAAAAAAAAAAAAAAAAAAAAAGGAAAAATTGAACTCTCAGAGTTGTGAATACTCCTCTGTTCCCAATCTGCTTCCTCTCTCTCCAGAGTAACTCACAATTCTGAATTTGGTGTTTATTACCCCCAATTATTATTTTTTGTATTTTTATTACATATACTATACATTATAAATGGTGTAGTCATGTACAGACCTTTCTGCTGTTGACTCCTTTTGCATGTTCTTATTTATTGGCATATGTAAGTTTAGTCCCTCCACTTCCACTGTTTTGTAGTGTTTTGTATGAACATTTCACAGAAATTAGTTCCCTATTGATATTTTCAAGTTCTGTTGTTTACAATACTTGACCATAACAAAAACTGCTACAAAGAACAACCTTGTACATGCTTTCTGTTGCTCATGTTTAAAGTTACTCTTGGGTATTTACCTGTTATTAAAATTGTTGAGTTGCATGTTCAACCTATCTGAAGTCTCTAAGTAGTACAAGAGAGTTGTTGCTCAACATCCCATAGCCATTTGACACCATATTTTAATTGTTCAAATGTGAAAATTGTAAAATGGAACTTCATTTTGTCTTTTATGTACATTTTCTAGTTTACTGATATGGTTGAATATCTATTCAAAAATGTATTACTTATTATGTGTTTTTCTTCTCTTGATTAAACTATTCATAAATGTAGCTGATTTTTAAATTTGATTATTTTTACTTAATTATTCTTATATTCTTTACATAGTCTTGATAAAAATAATCAGATATGTGTATGGCATGTGTCATCTTTCAGTCTTCTATTCATCTTCTCTCTATGTACATTAAAACACATGTATTTTTAGATATTGTTAAGCTGCCTGACAAAAAGGGTAAACTAGTTTATAATCCCACTAAGTGTGTATGAGGTTACTCTTCCCCTACACTTTTGCAGATACTGGATACTATTAAAGTGTTTTTTTTTGTTTGTTTGTTTCTGTTTTTTGTTTTTTGAGACGGAGTCTTGTTCTGTTGCCCAGGCTGGAGTGCAGTGGCATAATCTCGGCTCACTGAAACCTCTGCCTCCGGGTTCAAGCAATTCTCCTGCCTCAGCCTCCTGAGTACCTGGGATTACAGGCACATGCCACCATGCCAGGCTAATTTTTGTATTTTTAGTAGAAACGGGGTTTTACCATGTTGGCCAAGCTGGTCTCGAACTCCTGACCTTGTGATCCATCCACCTCGGCCTCACAAAGTGCTGGGATTACAGGTGTGAGCCACCTTGCCAGCCTTAAAGTGTTTTAATATTAAGAAATGAATAGATGAAAAAATTGTCTCATTGATGCCTAGATATAATTTTCCATATTTATAAGTGAGACAGGGCATCTTAGCATGTTTTAACATGTGTTTATCAGAATAGTAATTTCAGCTACAGAAAATTCCCTTTATCATTATTATTTGAAATATAAGACTTTTGCAAATAACTGCAGTTTTTTCGTAAAAGCAGTTTGTCAATTTCATAGAGTTAGATGCATCTGAAATTAATTTGCCTTGTCAAGCTCATGTAGAAGGGGGAAGAAACACCACAAATGTCAGTGTTTGCCAAAGTTACTGGAATGCGTGTAATAAAGTGAAATGCTTCATTTATTACTATTCTTTAAAGAAATAGTATTTTTTTTATTTTTATTTTCTTTATTTTATTTTTTGAGACGGAGTCTCACTCTGTTGCTCAGGCTGGAGTGCAGTGGCGCGATCGATCTCGGCTCACTGCAAGCTCTGCCTCTCGGGTTCACGCCATTCTCCTGCCTCAGCCTCCTCAGCAGCTGGGACTACAGGTGCCTGCCACCATGCCGGGCTAATTTTTTGTGTTTTTAGTAAAGACGGGGTTTCACCGTGTTAGCCAGGACGGTCTCGATCTCCTGACCTTGTGATCCGCCCGCCTCGGCCTCCCAAAGTGCTGGGATTACAGGCGTGAGCCACTGCGCCCAGCCAAGAAATAGTATTTTTTACTTTTATTCAAATCTATATAGAATTTATCTATATAAATGCCTGCTTAACATTAACATATTTTTAAAAATGTAATTGGCTAATTATATTTAGAATGATACAATTTAAGCTGGGAAGTACCAATATTAGATTACTGTGTGCTGTATTATATACTTTCTGAGAACTAGAGGAGGTGGTGGACAAGCCATTGATTGCTAATTTGAAATAAGTTTTAAAGTATTTTGGTGGAATTTATTTTGCTAGCATGACTTCTCTTGATTGAGGCTTTACTTATTTTAATCATGCAGGACCCATTTGTGAGAAGCTCTTTACAAAACCAAATGGATTTTTAGAATTAACCTAAATTATATGTCATCCAATAACATGCTTGATGTTGTCATAGTTCAGCAGAGGACAATCTTGTATAGTATCTCTGTCACATAGACATAATCATACCACACAATATTTAAGCTAGAACGTGGTTTGGCATTCTGTTTAAACACCCATCAAAATGGTAAACATTCCCCTCTCTTAATTGCTTTGTTAGGCTTCAAGAAAGAGAAAAATTATAAAGCACTATTTTCTTCTTGCTACAACCATTCATTCTACAGATAAATTCTATATTGGTGAACGGGCTATCTGAATTATGTGTATTATTGGAAGCATAACAGATATGTCATGTAGATGACAATAGCAGAAAATGTGATTTAGCTGAAATGATAGAGCTATGAAATGTTTTTCTTCCCTAGGTCTGGATTACACACAATTTCAAACCTTGTGGTTTATAAAATTGCAAAAGATGCATTATATTGAATCATGCTTTTGACTTATTGGGTAGAAAAGTAACAATGGCTAAACTCAAGTGAAGATTTGGTTCTTAACTGTATTTGATTCACATTTCTCTTGGTTAATTGCTTTACTCTACCTCATTTTGCTTGTGCTTATTCTGTTTCAATTAGTGGACTCTTAACATTTGTATTTACTAAAAAATCAATGCCAAGAAATTGCTTCTTTTAAGACTTATGCTTTGAAGTGTGAAATATTTAGCTTTCCAAAGAACTTTAAAGCCTATTTTTTTAGCATTTTAAAATAAGCATAGATTTATACATAGGACTGGTGGCAAAAAATGTAAACTAGAAATATGAATATAGTAATAATAGCTTTAATTACTTTTACAGAGTTTAGAAGAATGTGTCTCTGTGGGAATAAAGATTTCTCCCTCTCTTGCCCCCCTCTCCCATAGTAGCATCAGTATAATTTATTTTTAAAGAAATATCTCTTATGCATTTCAGTTTTTCCCCTTATCATTGTCATTGAGTAAATTGATAGGAAGAAACATAATTAAGGAAGGAAAATCTTATTTAGGAATTATAAGCAATTTTCTCTTCTCCTCCTATTGCTTTCTGGTAGGCATCTGTTCAGGTATTTAGCTGGAGATAGAGTGAATCACCTTTCTTAGTGCGTACAGGAAGGGGCTTTGCTTGTAGTCACACTGTCAATACTGATAATTACCTGCATAGCAACAAAAGATATATTCTTGTGATATTTTCAAAGTGAAATCGGTACTTCAGTGGTACTCTTCATGCAGAATTGCCCCTGTGGTACCAAGTTATTGGATTTTAATGCTGCACCTGTGTGAAAGGGAGAACCAGAAAGGATATAAAGAAAAGATACCTTTAAGGAAAGGTAGTAGTTTCCATCAAGAAACAAAGGAAAATATAGGATATTTTTAAAATCTAGTTTGTGATTATCATTAGTTTTTGCTGAATTGGCTTAAAGGATTTATAAGGCTGTAAATCCAGAAACTCAAGCATAATATTTATTATTATAAAATATAGCAGGAAATGTTAGGAATTTAGAAGCTCGTATTTTGAATCAACAATGCCAAAATATTATAGGGGAAAATGGAAAAATAAGAGAATTTGTATAAGTAGTAAAGACTGCTTTCTTGAGGCAGAAGGCAAAAGTGCCAACTGATGTTCGATGCCATCAAACGATATTGGTCTTCTATTAAAGAAAACAATTTGTATCTTGAGGGCAAGAAAGAAGAACCTGCAAACTCTGTAAGAAGCAAAATATATTCATGTGGTATCAGTCACTGAGAAAAAGGCTTAATTTAATGAAAGCTATGTACATCCTGTTATTACTGGGGAAGTAAATAAAGTCAACAGATTACATTTAAAATAATCTCTTGTTTTCACTATTCCTGTTGTTTTGTATCACCAGTTTTTAAAGCTAATATAAGATATGAAGAAGAAATTTTTTAAAATCCAAATATATTGCAAGAGATTACTATCAGAGAAAGTTTGAGTAGGTCAATGCTATAAATACACATTAACGTTATATTTCCCCTTAGGTTGAATAAATTGGCTAACCTATGTTATTGTACTTTTAAAATTTTACTTTAAGCCCTGGGATACCTATGTTGAACATGCAGGTTTGTTACATAGGTATACATGTGCCATGGTGGTTTGCTGCACCTATCCATCCATCATCTAGGATTTAAGCCCCGCACGCATTAAGTATTTGTCCTAATGCTCTCCCTCTTTTTTCCCACCAACCCCCCAACAGGCCCCTGTGTGAGATGTTCCCCTCCCTGTGTCCATGTGTTCTCATTGTTCAACTCCCACTTATGAGTGAGAACATGCAGTATTTGGTTTTCCGTTCCTGTTTGCTGAGGATGATGGTTTCCAGCTTCATCCATGTCCCTGCAAAAGAAAGGACATGAACTCATTCTTTTTTTTATGGCTGCATAATATTCCGTGGTGTATAAGTGCCATATTTTCTTTATCCAGTCTATCACTGATGGGCATTTGGGTTGGTTTCAAGTCTTTGCTTTTGTAAATAGTGTTGCACTTTTTTTAAAGGGCAGGTAAGAGTTAACAGGAAATGGAGATTGAACATGCTGTTTCAGAGAAGTGTAATCAGATAAACTGAAGGTAAACAAGGTATGCTATTGGTGTAAAATTTTGAGAGAAAAGAAGAAAGAAAGAAAGAAGAAGAAGAAAAAGAAGAAGAAGAGGGAAGAGGAGTGGGAGGAGGAGGAGTGGGAGGAGGAGGGGGGAGGAGGAGGAGTGGGAGGAGGAGGAGGAGGGAAGAAGAAGAAGAAGAAGGGGAGGAGGAGGAAGAAGAAGAAGAAGAGGAGGAGGGGTGAGGAGGAGGAGGAGGAAGAGGAAGAGGGGGAAGAGGAAGAGGAGGAGGAGGAGGAAGAAGAAGAAGAAGAAGAAGCAACAGCAGCAGCAGCACAAGCAACAGCAGCAGCAGCAGAGGAGGAGGAGGAGGAGGAGGAGGAAAAGGGAGAGAGAGAGATTTCCCTGTTGCCAAAATAAGGATTTTGCTTTACCTTCAACTGCTTAAGCTGAAGGTCTTTCTTTACATGGGATAATAGTTCACTGTAACACATCTGCCTGCAGTAGTTCTCTTCCTTTTTTGGCTTTCAGAAGGTGAGACTTTGCTCTCACTCTATTGGCACCTGTAACAGTGATACCAGAAATGGCAACTTTAAAGTATGATGTAGTTGCCCAATTGTACGTCTCAGAACCTACTGAGGTGCTACACTGTCACAGGGGGCTTTAATTGTTGACAATTTAATTTCTAAAGATAAAAATTTGATGATCAAAATAAAGAAAATAGTATATATATATATATATATATATATATATATATATATATATATATAGATAAAGAGGTAGATAAATATGGTATAATTTATCTTTTTTTTTTATAAACCAGCATACCCACACTCTTGGAGTTTATCTTTTATTACCATAATAGGAGTTCACACAATCTTGCATCTATAGTACCTTCATTTAAAGATTTGTTTGTTGGAACTGCAAAAAGAATTATTTTCTATTAATTAATTATTACCTATTATCAATTTTTCTTATGTTTCAAAAAACAGTCTCTCTCTCTGTCTCTGTGTGTGTGTGTGTGTAAATTTATTTTTAGGTAGAGAAAAAAGTAAGCATATTCATTCTAAGATAAGCAGCTAGAAGCTTCGTATGTACATGATCATATGTACATGTTAGGTGGTTCTCTGATGAAGATAGGTCTATTTCTCCTAAGAAATTGCTTTGTCTTTTGTTTTTGACAGCATGTATAATTTATCTAATTATGTTGCTTTATTTATGTTGTTTTCTGTGAAGCACAGAGCCAAAATTGTGGCCCAAATAAAGCAAGAAGATTTGCAGTGTCAAGCTGCTTCTTTCAAAGGGTCTGTGAATTCTTTTGGTGTTCTGGTATGTTCCTGTGGTGGTTCTTGGAGCAAACGTTTATGATGTGAGTCTCCACATGCTGTTCTGTCCTTCCAAGTGGGAGCAGCACATGAGTCCACCATTTTGCTGGATTATTTTTTCTATTCATTCTTTATTTATTATTTGCATTTCATTTTGGAAACCTTCTATTGACGAGTTTTGTCAATAGACATCAAGTCTTTGATTCTTTCCTCAGCTATCTCCAAGTTATTGATAAGGCCATCAAAGGCATTCTTCATTTCTGTTAAAAAGAATTTGGCAATCTTTAGATCTACATATATATATATTATTTTCTCAAGAGCTGAGCAAATTCTAATGGTATCTCTCTTTGAAAGGAATCAAATATTATTATTATTTGATGCACATATATTTCTCAAAAGGTCTTATTACCATAGATTGGTGCTGTTAGGCTTAGGTATCCATGGCTCCTCAACTCATAGTCTCTCAATACTATGATAATGTCAACTGAAGAATGATGAGGTTCATACATTTGGAAAGAAAATCTTTATTTCCATAAGGGATTGCAGCCTGCAGAGTGGCCGTTGTGACAGGCTGGGAAGGCTAGCCTCCAATCAGAAGCCAGAAACAAATACTTAAAGGGTCGGAAGAATAAGACATGGATTTGTGCTGAATGAAGTGGCCAAATATACATATTCAGTAAGCTATAGGAGGAGGCATGAATATTTATGAAAGAAGAAATATGTGTATGTACAACTGAGCTTTATGCCTCTCCATGGGATCCATGTTCAAAAAATGGCAGTGTTAGCATATGAGGGTGGAGTTTTTGGCCCTCTGACATTAAAAGATGAAGTAGAGGACACAAAAACCCTCACTGTGCATCCTCCGTAGACTGTCCAGAACCATCCCATAGCTGGCAGTCTATTATTAGGAAGAAGTGCTGGTCTGTTGTTTTGTTAAAACCGCAAAAAGAGGGAGCAATATCAGGTACTTGGTTAAAACTAGCAGTGCAGCAAGTCTCTTGAAAGGGTTGGTTTCTGTTTAATCCTTAGAGAAGAAAGCCTATTGGTGGTTAGTGAGGGAGTGAAGGATTATAATAAGGAATGACGCCTTCCCATTGAGTCATGGCCAGAAACTCAGGTTCCAAGGTTTCTTTGGGGATCCCTTGGCCAATTGGAGAGGTCATTCAATTGAATTATGGGCTTTTTTATTTTTATTTCTCAGTAGAATGGATCAGGCAGTAATCATTGTGGAAAATGTAGAAACTATGTCAAACTAAATGTTTAAGTACTACTACTATTAAGTAATAATATCAAGGTCTTAAATCATGTGCTTACCGTGTTCAAAGCACTAACATTTTATTCTCAAAACAAACATATGGGATAAACTTAACATCTCAAATTTAAGGGTTAGTAAACTGAAGCTTAAAGAGGTTAAGGAGGTTGTTCAATTTACACCATTAGGACATGATGGAACCAGTGGTACATGTGCCACCAATATCTGTCTTTAACTCTTATGTGATCCTGACACAAATATGTTTGTTTACAGATTCACCATATTGACACATACACTTTCATTGTGAATGGAACAAGAGGAAATAGAATTAAGACATCACAGACTGTTTCATAGAATCACTATTTAAAAAAAAAAATTCTATAGTGTTACAGCTTTCCAAGACCATCAGTCATTCTTAACCAAGAGTCACATGGCTGCACCAGTAACACCTCATATCTTGAGTCCTAGAATGCAATTCTTATCCAAAGGAAGACATAAGAAATCAGAATGGAATTTCTATTCTCAGTCACATCCATTGGCCTATGAATTGAAAATTTCATTTTCAGAAGGTAATTATATTCTCTTCTCAGGATTTATCTTTGAGGACAGTGTATACTTCTTAATTTATTTTAGTACAGACTCTCATTTCTAATCAGTAATGCTAATTTGGAGAGAAAAGAAGGTTTTCTTTGCAAGCATGGGGATTTTGATAGAAACGTCATACTTTTTTAAACTTTCCTAGACAATTTCACCTTTTGTTTTTTTCTCTGAAGCAGATGGTATTGAGTGAAAAGTTCTATAATGCATTCATCATTACCCATTCACTGCTCACTGAGATGAGAGAGTGATGTACTTCATCAGAGGAAAGTACTCTACTGTCTAAGTTACACTACCACTTTCAGGAGAAACACTTAACTTCCTAGAAGAGGTGGTTAACCATATATGGGTGAATATATGTGTGCCTATAATTTTCTCCTTTTAAAATAACTTTCAAACAATTGTGGACCTTTATTTCATGACATTAATGTACTTTTACATCATTGACTAACAAAGAATGTAATTTACAATTTTTATGTGAATGAGAACTCTAGTCCATCAATGCAATTACAATGCATCAATTATCCTTCCTGAATGTTAAGTATATCTCGCAAAAAATAGTATTTTTACTTTTACTCTGTATAAATGAAAAATTTTGAAACAGTCCAAAATATGTCAGTATTCATTTGCATTAAAGGAAGAGGATACAGTGTAGGCAACTAGAAAATATTTCTGGTAAAAATATTCTAGTGACTTTAAAGCTGAATTGCATGGATTTTAAGAAAAGAAAAATAATAATTTGTTGTGTTTATAACTACAACAAGAGATATGTTTAACCTATTTAGGTACTTCACTAAATAGCAATCATGCAAATAAGAATTCGAGGACACAATTTAGACTGAATATATGTTTTAACTACCAGGTGAACTGGCACAAGTTGTGAATACCACAAATAAAATATTGGCATTCTATAATTCTTTTAAATTAATAGAAAAATACACTTTATCTTTGAAGATTTATATTATTAGGAAATAAAATATTCATAGTTATTTTTCACTTTGTATGATTGGAAAAATTGCCTTAATATGTGTTTATTATATGAGAGTGAACACTTTTTATTTCTCACTGTGCTATACTGAAAGTCAAAGATTTGCTATTGTGTGTATATATGTGTGTGTGTTTGTGTGTCTGTATTTTCTTAGGTCAAACTATTAATATTTAGTGTGCAAAAATTCCTGGATATAGAAAGTAGCAGAATGATTATCAGATCCTGGAAAGGGTAGTGGGGTGATTGAGGAGGTGGGAATGGTTAATGAGTACACAAAAATAGAAAGAATGAGTAAGACCTACTAATTGATAGAACAATAGGGTGACTATAGTCAATAATAACTGTACATTTTGAAAAAAACTGAAAGAGTGTAATTGGATTATTTGTATCACAAAGGATAAATGCTTGAGAGGATGGATACTCCATTCTCCATGATGTAATTATTTCACATTGCATGCCTGTATAAAAACATCTCATGTACCCCATAAATATATTACACCTCCTACATACTCACAAAATTTAAAAATGAAAATTGAAATAAAAATTCTACATATCCAATTCAAAAGAGAAACAATGGAAGGCACGTGTTTATAAAAAAAAAAATCTCGGATTGAGAATGGAAATTAGAAAGTGATTCCCAAATAACTAGAGAAGTGGAGTTAAAATATTCCTAACACAAAGAAATGATAAATGTTTGAGGTGACTTTTACCCCATTACCCTAATTTGATCATTTCCCGTTCTATGCTTTTATCAAAGTATCACATGTACCTGATAAATGTGTGCAATTATTATATGCCCATAAAAATAAAGAATAAAAAAGGATTACCCCTTTTTAAAAAAGTTAAATGTATAATATTTCTCTTTGAGTACATTAAAACAAGTGCTTTTATTTATTCTGATAACTGAATATGTGTTAAATATGAATAAAAGTTGTACGTTATTTATTGTGTTTTCAGGATCCAAGCCACTTTGGTGGCATTTTTTTTTAGTTTAACATTATCTCATAATTATAACTTTCATATACCGGACAATTACTTCATTGCATGTAAATATACCTCATTGATTTTAACAATGACAGAGGTGGGTGGATGACTGTCAGAGTTGTTTTTCTTAAGCTATTGTGGTCCTCCCCTGAATGATGCTGTAACATGCATTATGCTTTGAATAAATGCCATCTGTAGACAAATGAGTGATTTGTTAAAAGAAAGGTAGCAATAAATGAAAATTCTGGCAGAAGTTAATGAATATTGTTAGTTGAACTGTACAATGCAAGTAAATATTAGTTTTTACATTTTGTATGAGTAGACATTTGCAAAGTGTCAAACACTTTCTTTTCATGTATATTTTTTTCACATACAGTGCTAATGACCTAGCAAGCCTATAGCTGCTAAATCAGTACTATTTTTTTTTGATTTCTGTTTTTTATAAACACAGTCAGTATTAGAACAAAAGCTACATACTCTGTCTTGGTCACAGTTGACATGGAAGCCAAATATGTCTGTAATTGAATTATGAATCTTCTATATTAACCTTCAAACAAATCTTTTTATTACTTACAATAGTGAAATAGAAAGTTTTTCTAATTTTATTTCATAAAAGACACTTAGAGACTACTCAATATGGATTTGAAGAGTGTATTTCAATGTTCAGGGAGTCCTAATACACATGTAATTTTTGTTAAACTATATTTCTGCTCCTTGCTCACTCTAAAGGTAAAAATGACTGGTGGAAAAGATTGTGAAACTGTTACAGGCTATGAATATTGCAGAGGCTTAGCTAGTTGCCTAATGTGTTTAATTAGTATTGAACAACTGCAAAATCACTTTGGTTTATAGCCGTGGTCACACACTTTTGTTTTCTTCTTTTCTTCCATTTTTTTTTTTTTTTTTGCCCCTTTCCTCTCTTATGCAAAAGCCTGCTCTGATTTCACAAACTAGAAGGTTAAGGCTCGCATAGCCGACTCCTAGCAGATTGGTTTAATACATAAGAAGTATTCAGTTTGCTCATTTTTAGTGTAGGCCTTTAACCTAAGTAGATAAAGCATTTTATATTTTCAATATGATGTTAAATAACATTCGACTAATCTTTCACTGATATATATTGGTGTATACCTAAACTACTAATCACCATCAGATTTCCATCATGCTTCCATTGCCCCAAGCTAGGTCTCTTCTCTATCTACTAGTTATTCTATTTTTTTAGTTATTCAAATTTAACATCCTTACTATTACTAGTAGTTTCCACTAGTTTAGCAATGCGGAATAATTACTATTCAGTTTTGTTGCTTACTGAGACATAACTGTCAAATAAAGCAAATTTTTTTATTATCTATAACAGCAGGTAATCATAAAATATAAACGGCCAGGTAATCACAAAAGTATGCATGCATTTCAAATGTATCATGCAGTCTTTTTCCTGGAGGCAACAGCAGATATTCTTGACTTTTTTTCCTAGATAGCATTTTAGTGAGAGTTTTGCTATGATTTACTTTGCCAGGAGGAAAAATGTTATTACAAATAAATGTCTTATATACTAAATGCTTTGTATTGCCCCTTTTCATTATCTCCCACCTTGGACCTTTCAAAGAACTAGATTTTGATTTCATATTGTTTTCATTATTTTTCTGTTTTAAATTTTATTGATTTATGTTTTTGTTTTAGATAGACATGGTCTTGCTCAGTCACTCAGGCTGGAGTGTAGTGGTACGATCATAGTTTACTGTGACCTCAAACTCCTGGGCTCAAGTGGTCTTTTTGCCTCAGCCTCTCGTGTAGCTAGGACTAAACACACACACCACTATGCCTGGTTAATGACTTATTTTTCTTCTTCTTCTTTTTGCTTGCTTTGATTGTATTTGCTGTTCTTCAAGTTTCTTAAGGTGAAAATTTAGAACATGGAATGGAGAACTGTCTTCTTTTCTAGTTTGTAGTATTTAATGTAATGTTCCCTCTAACCAGTGCTTTCGTTGCATCTTACAAATTGTGATATGCTTTATTTTGTTTTCATTCAACTGTGATTTCCTTTTGGCCTATGTACTGTGTAGAAGTGTTTGTTTTCTCTCTCCAGTTGTATTGGGGTTTTTTTTTTTTCATGTATTTCAAAGCTCTGTTTTAAGGTGTATATATATGTAGGATTGTTAATTCTTCTTGGTAAATTGATCCTTTTATAATTATAAAATTTCACTCCATATCCGTGTTTATATTCCTTGTTCTGATGTCTACTTCTGATATTAATATAGTCATTTCAACTTTTTTGCTTTTGGTTTGCATGGTATATCTTTTTCCATCTTTTAGCTTTTTTGTATGTCTGTTTTCTGTTTTTTTGTTCTTTTTTTTTTTTGTCTTTTTTTTTCTTAGAGACAAGGTCTTGTTACGTTGCCCCAGCTGGCTCAAACTCCAGGGCTCAAGAGATTCTCCTACCTCAGCTTCCCAAATAGCTGGGACTGCAGGTGTGCACTGCTGCACCTGGCTAGCTATCTTAACTTTTATCCTACCTAGGTCTTTCTAGCTAAAGCAGCTTTTTTGTTGACGGACATAGTTGGGCTTTGTTTTTTTTGTTTCATTTTGTTTTTTTAATCCAACCTGAAAATCTTAAAATACATGTGCTATACCTATTTATTTTCATGTATTTATTGATGTTATTGGATTTAATTCTACCATTTTAATAGGTGTTTCCTATTTGTCCCTTCTCTTTTCTGTTTCTCTCTCCCCTCCCTCCACCCTTTTTTTTTTTTTTTTTTTTTTTTTTTTTGAGATGATTCTCGCTCTGTCGCCCAGGCTGGAGTGCAGTGGCACCATCTCAGCTCACTGCAACCTCTGCCTCCCAGGTTCAAGCAATTCTCCTGCCTCAGCCTCCTGAGTAGCTGGGACTACAGGCGCGCGCCACCATACCCAGCTAATTTTTTTGTATTTTTAGTAGAGACGGGGTTTCACCGTTTTAGCCCAGGTGGTCTTGATCTCCTGACCTCGTGATCCACCCGCCTCAGCTTCCCAAAATGTTAGAATTACAGGCGTGAGCCACCACGCCCAGCCTCTCTCTCCCCCTTTTCTTTTGAATTCTTTGGATTTGTTTTTCATATTCCACTTTAATATATCTGTTGACCTCTGACTATGTCTCCTGTATTATTTCTTAGTGCTTGCGCTAGGCCTGATAATATACATACCTAACCTTTCACAGTTTACTCAGAGTTATATTTTACTACCATAGTAAAAATGTGGAAGTTTTACCATGGAGTTTATCTTTTCCCACAAACCTTTTTGTTATAGTTGTCATATGGGTTACAACTATGTACACTGATTGCAATGATCATACATAATTTAAGGAATTTAAGAAAAGAAAATTTAGTTTTGTATTACCCATTTTTTATTATTCATCTTTCTCTTACTTTATTCCTGAAATTTTTTCCTACAGGCCTTCAAATCAACTTTTTATTAGTTACAACAATGAAATTGAATATTTAATTTTTTCTCTTAAGAACGAGATTTAATAAATTCAACTTCATGTAATTTTCCTTCAGCCTGAGATCTTTCGGCAATGAGTTCTGTGAGTTTCCCTTCATCTACGAATGCCTTTCTTTATCCTTCATCCCAAGGAGGGTTTTTAATGGATATTTAATGGATATAAAGTTTTACATTAGCAGTTAGTTGCTTTCTTTCATCATTTTAAGATACCATCTCACTATTTTCTGGCCTTCATGGCTTTTAATGAGAGAACATTGGTAATTCAAATTATTGTTCCATTAATTATAATGAATTATTTTTCTCTAGCTACTTAATATTTTCTTTCTCTATTGTTAGAAGCTTGATTGTGGTGTATCTGGGCATTGATTTCTTTGAGTTTATCATGGTTGGGGGTTGCTGAGCTAATGAATATGTAATTTTGTTTCTCATCAAATCTGGAAGTTTTTGGTCCTAATTTCTTCACATTTTTTTTATGGAGCAATCACTTTTTCTTCTTCCTGAGACTTCAAAGACATTTATTTTAAAACTTCTGAGATTTTCCCACTGTTTCCTGAAGCTCTTCTCAGTCTTTTTTCAATCTTTCTTCTCTCTCTGTTCTTCAGATTGGATAATTGTTATTGATCTGTCTTCAAGTTCATTGACTCTTGCCTCTGTCATCTCCGTTCTGCTCTCAATCACATGATCATATTATGTGAATAGTTTATTTATCTGTGTTTTGTTTTTTAACTTTTAAGTTCAGGGGCACATGTTATACAGGTATATTGCATGCCATGGGGCCTTGGTATACAGATTATTTTGTCACCCAAGTAAAAGCATAGTATCCAATAGGTAGTTTTTCTCTCCTTAGCCTCCTCACTCTCCACCATCAAATAGACCCTAGTGTCTATTGTTCCTTTCTTTGTGTCCATATGTACTCAAAGTTTAGCTCCCACTTATAGTGAGAACATGTGGTATTTGGTTTTCTGTTTCTGTGTTAGTTTGCTTAAGATAATGGCCTCCAGCTTTATTTACGTTTCTGCAAAGAACATGATCTCATTCTCTTTTTATTGCTACATAGTATTCCATTGTGTATAGGCACTACGTATTTTTATCTGGTGTTCCATTGATGGGCATTTACGTTGGTTCCATGTCTTTGCTATTGTGAATAATGCTGCAATGAACATACACTTGCATATGTCTTTATGGCAGAACGATTTACATTCCTTTAGGTATATACCCAATGATGAGACTGCTGGGTCAAACGGTAATTCTACTTTAAGTTATTTGAGAAGTCCCCACACTGCTTTCCACATGGCTGAACTAATTTATATTCCGACTAACAATATGTAACTCTTCCCTCTTCTCCACAACATTGTGAGTATCTCATTGCGGTTTTGATTTGCATTTCTCTAATGATCAGTGATGCTGAGCATTTTTCATATTGTGCTTGTAGGTCACACGTATGTCTTATTTTGAAAAGTATTTGTTCAAGTACTTTGCCCACTTTTTAATGGAGTTGTTTGTTTTTTGCTTGTTAATTTGTTTAAATTCCTTATAGATTCTGGATATTAGACCTTTGGAATTGTTTATTTTAGATATTGAATTTTCAGTTCTAAAATTTTTATTTGATTATCTTATAGTTTCTACTTCTGTGAAAGAAATAGAATGTCTACTTATTAGACAGTGATTTTAAGCAGCTGTTATATACCGGCTCAGTGAAATAAATGAACCCGTAGAATTTCTTTTCTTTTTTTTTTTTTTTTTTAAATTTTATTTCACATTTTATTTCCAGAGGTTTTTGGGGAACAGGTAGTTTTCAGTTACATGGATAAGATTTTTAGTGATGATTTCTGAGATTTTGGTACACACATCACCCCAGCAGTGTACACTGTACCAAATTTGTAGTCTTTTATCCCTCACTCCCCTCCCACCCTTTCTCCTGAGTCCCCAGGGTCCATTGTATCATTCTTATGCCTTTGCATCCTCATAGCTTAGCTCCCAGTTATGAGTGAGAAAATATGATATTTGGTTTTCTATTCCTGAGTTACTTTACTTAGAATAATGATCTCCAATTCCATCCTGATTGCTGCAAATGTGATTATATCATTCCTTTTTATGGCTGAATAGTATTCCATGGTATAAAACACAATTTATTTATTCACTGGTTGATTGATGGGCATTTGAGTTGGTTATATATTTTTGAAATCGCAAATTGTGCTGCTATGAACATGCGTGTGCAAGTATTTTTTTCGTATAATGACTTATTTTCCTCTGGGTAGATATTCGGTAGTGGGATTGCTGGATCAAATGATATTTCTACTTTTAGTTTTTTAAGGAATCTGCACAATGTTTTCCATAGTGGTTGTACTAGTTTACACTCCCACCAACCATGTAAAAGTGTTCCCTTTTCACCACATCCACGCCAACGTCTATTTTTTTTATTTTTTATTTTATTTATTTCTTTATTTCTTTATTTTTTGAGACGGAGTCTCACTCTATTGCCCAGGCTGGAGTGCAGTGGCACGATATCGGCTCACTGCAAACTCTGCCTCCCAGGTTCACGCCATTCTCCTGCCTCAGCCTCCCAAGTAGCTGGGACTACAGGCACCCGCCACAAGGCCCGGCTAATTATTTTTGTATTTCTAGTAGAGACGGGATTTCACCATGTTAGCCAGGATGGTCTTGATCTCCTGACCTCGTGATCTGCCCGCCTCAGCCTCCCAAAGTGCTGGGATTACAGGCTTGAGCCACCGCGCCCAGCCTGATTTTTTTATTATGGCAATTCTTGCAGGAGTAAGGTGGTATTGCACTGTAGTTTTGATTTGCATTTCCTTGATAATTAGTGATGTTGAGGCTTTTTTCATGTTTGTCGGCCATTTGTTTATCTTCTTTTGAGAATTGTCCATTCATGTACTTAGCCCACTTTTTGATAGGATTGTTTTTGTTTTGTTTTGTTTTTTTCTGTTAATTCGTTTGAGTTCCTTGTAGATTCTGGACATTAGTCTTTTGTCAGGTGTATAGATTGCAAAGATTTTCTTCCACTCTGAGGGTTGTCTGTTTACTCTGCTGATTGTTTCCTTTGCTGTGCAGAAGCTCTTCAGTTTAATTAAATCTCACCTATTTATCTTTGTTTTTGTTGCATTTGCTTTTGGGTTCTAGGTCATGAAGTGTTTGCCTAAGCCAATGTCTAGAAGGGTTTTTCCAATGTTATCTTGCAGAATTTTTATAGTTTCAGGTCTTAGATTTAAGTCCTTGTTGCATCTTAAGTTGATTTTTATAAAAAGTGAGAGATGAGGATCCAGTTTCATTCTTCTACATGTGGCTTGCCAATTATCCCAGTACCATTTGTTGAATAGGGTATACTTTCGCCACTTTATGTTTTTGTTTGCTTTGTCAAAGATCAGTTGGCTGTAAGTATTTGGGTTTATTTCTGGGTTCTCTATTCTGTTCCATTTGTCTATGTGCCTATTTTTATACCTGTACCATGCTGTTTTGGTGATTATGGCCTTATAGTATAAAGTCAGGTAATATGATGCCTCCAGATTTGTACTTTTTGCTTAGACTTGCTTTGGCTATGCGGGCTCTTTTTTGGTTTCATGTATGAACTGGGGGATTGTTTTTTCTAGTTCTGTGAAGAATGAGGGTGGAATCTGATGGGAATTGTATTGAATTTGTAGATTGCTTTTGGCAGCATGGTACCTTTCACAATATTGATTCTATCCATTCATAAGTGTGGAATTTGTTTGTGTTGTCTGTGATTTCTCTCAGCAGGAACACAGAATTTCTATTGGCAAATGTTTTTTTTTTTTTTTCCCTTGAGAATCTCTCATATTTTCCTGAGTGTTTTTATGTTAAATGTTATATAGTATAGCCTCTGGGTTCTATTTTAATCATCTGGATAATGCTGATTTTTTTCTTTATTTGTTTAACCGGCAGTTGTTCTAGTATCTGTTAAATTTTTAAAGGCTTTCCTATGATGTCTAGATTAATCCAGTACATGCATGATTCAGGGGATAATCTGAAGTTCAGGTTTTAGGTTATATCATAGTTCAGGTTTCAAAACCCCTTACTATCCTGCTTTGGGTCTCTCTCTGGCTCGTGCAGTTCGTAGGGGAACCTGGGATTTGTGTGGGTTCACATAGAATTATGGAGTCCCTTTAGTTAACATTTCTGTTTCTAGGACTGCTGCTACATTCTCTGACTCTTTTCTGGTTCCTCTATGCATTTTCAACTGAAGTTCTAGCTGTCAGCTCTATACCTCTGTCGAGCTTTGCAAAGGGAGCTTACATTATGGACAAATCTGTGAGACAAAGGGAAAAATGTATGAGGAAACTCATCCCTGAGTGTGTTGCTTCTCTATGTTTTGACTCTTTTTCTAAACCTGCCTTCCTTTTGTTTACCTTTCAGAGTCCTCGGGTAGTTGCCTTTTGTATATTTTCCAGAGATTTTAGTTATAACAAGTGGTATATATGGGCTATACTGGGCTTACTACATTTTGGACAGAACTGCAACCCTCCAAACATGAGGGGCACCTCAGCTGGTGCTTATGTTTATGAGCACAGAGGAGGTTTCTCTGGGCTTGAGACCCAAACCTTTGAGAAGCAGATGCTGGCTAACTGGTAGTGGTATCTGTGAGGGAAGTGTAATCTGGCTGGTTCTAGAAGTGTTGGAGAAACTGCAAACTGATTTCAGCAGTGGCTCCTGGGACAAACTGTCGTTATCAGCATAAAAAAGAGAGTCTGAGATCACTCTTATAGGAAGATTTTGAGCAAAGAAGTGGCATGATCTAATGTATGTTTTAAGATGGACAACTTGATTGCTATTGGGAAAACAATAAATTGGACTGGAGCAAAAAGAAGGAGACTACTTAGAAAGCTTTTGAAATAATGTAGGTGAATTACAGTTTATACAAGGATCGTAGCAGTAGATGTGGCAGATATTTGTCAGATTATAGATGTGTTTTGAAGATACAGCCAACAAAGTTCCCTAATATATTGTATGTGTGATATGTGTGTATCCTTCTTTAATAATAATGAAGGAATCAAAGGTGACTCCATTTTTTTTCACCTAAGAAAATAGAAGTTTGCATTTTTCAAATTAGAGACGGTGAAGACTTGGGAAGAAGAAAGTTTGGAGTTTAGAAGAAAAGGTTGCAGGGGAAGATTGGGTTTGTCGTGCCTTTTTCTCATGTAAATAGAAGTGTTATGTAGACATTTAGATATACAGGGCTGTATTTTAGGAGAGATGTGTTGGCTTGGAATAAAGAGTATACAAATGGGGTTTTAAACCATAAGAAGGGATGAGATCACTTAGGGTACGAGTACAGATGGAGAAGATGAAAAGTCTGGGTATTGATCCTAAGATATTTCAACTTTTAGAAATAGAGGAGGTAAGAAGAAATCAGCTAAGTAGACTGAGAAGAGGTTAGTATGATGTAAGTGAAAAACTAAACCAATGGCAGATCAGAAGTCACATGAGAAGCTATTTCAAGAAAGGAGAAGCATGATCAACAATGTCAAATGTAGAGTCTAGAAAATGAGATCTGTGAAGTAAAATTAGATCTGACAAATAACTATTTGATTTTAGCACCACAGAGGGTTATTTGTGACCTTGATAAGAGAATTTTCAGTGTAATATTGGAAGTGAAAGTCTGGATCTAGTAGGTTCAAGATGGAAAGGGGAGCAGAGAAATTGTATGAGTTCAAGGAAATATTTTTCGGCGAACAAACATAGATTGCATTTGGATTAAAAATGTTATTAATATGCTGGTTCTTTCAGCCACTGTATTTTTTTGTTACTATTAAGCTATTAGACAATCAATAGATACCTATTAACCTCAAAGTATAATAGAATTGACCAAAATGTTCTGCTCTTAATAAATAGAGCGTAAATAGTATTTACAGAGCTAAGGACATTTCAGTAGTTCTAGACTTCAGGCATTGCTGCAAGCAATTTGAAACATTACTGTCCTGTCTTTAAAAAACAATGCAAGGTAGAGAAAGAGAGCAACCAGAGTTGACTAAGAAATGTATTTTCATCAATGTCATGAATATTGTAATAACAATTTGTCCTGCATTATTTTTGGACTACATTTTTAGGACTGATATGTGTGTTTCAAATTAAGGAAAAATTTGCATCGAACTATGTTTTCATTTAGATGACAAAAACAAAGATAATGAATAATATAAAGGCACAATTTTAACAATATAATAACTAATATCAATGCTTATTGTTGCATAAAATAATACTATTTTAGGAAATTATTAAAATAAAACATTTATATTCATGAATTTGAAAATATGATGAAATGGCAAAAACAGGGTATTGCATATTTTTAATAAGCCCTTTAAAAATAATATGGTATCTCATAATCTAAGCTGAAAATACTAGAGGAAATAGTATAATTTTATTCGAAAGGGACCTTGGAGTTGATTTTATCCAATGTTCTTCCTTTATAAACATAGCAATTTAGATGCAAAGTATATAATGACCTGCCCAAGGTAGCCCAACTAATTTGGACAATGTTTGGTATTCTGTGGTGTTCAGTACTATTGCCACTTTACTATTGAGAATTATGTTAGAGAAGCAATTGAAACATATGCAGAAAACGTTGCATTATCTTCTTTCCTCTATCCTCCCCTTCACTCCCTGCCTTTCTCCTTTCCTTCTTTCCCTTCTTTTCTCCTTCCTCCAGTTTCAGCTTTATAAAAAAATTTTCCTCTTCTTTAAGAAAGGAAAACTTAAGTGTTAGTGAAGTGGGAGAAAGTTGAGAAAGGAGAATTATTTTAGTAGCTTCCCCTATAATTATTTACCTTCATGCCTATGCACATGCACACACATACCTAAAACCATTTGGAAGACATAATTCTAAAAGCATTAAGTTTCCAAATTTTTTCTAGTTTAAAAAATAACCTCTAATATTGTATCCTGGGACAGAAAGCAATAACAGTAACCATGCTTTACTAAATAAATCAAGATTTATTTAATGAACTTCAGATTAATCATGTTCCGAGGTTTCACTTTTCTGTGGGCTATTGACCAATATAGCAAAAGTTTAGTGTCATATGAGTGCAGACAGGCACAGTTTTAAATTCTATTTTTCATAGTTACTAGTTTTTTAAAGTTTGCAAATGATTTAACACCTCTGATCCTTAGTTTGCTAATCTAAAATATAAGGGTGATAATAATGCTTATTTTGTAAAGTAATTGATAGCTGTACATGGTACACTTGGTATAGTATAACTTCTCATAACCGTTAATTATTTTATTGCCATTATTGCTATTAGTACCAGTAATAACACTCTTCCAATGGAAAATATTTTTCTGAAAACTCATAAATATAATAATATTCATTGTTTCAGAAATTAGCTAAAAGTAGGACCTATGAAGTATTATGGTGCTGGTTAACATAACATGTAGTTAGTGAAATCACCAATAAATGAAGACATGACATATAATCTAAATTATATTATATTTGCATAGTCTAAATTATATTATGTATGGCATATGTCCATACTCCATCCTAAGAAATCCAATTCTTTTAATAATTGTAATAGAATTGATTGAGCTTGCTATTAGAGTGTTTAACTGTACTCTTGAAATGGGTTTTACTAAAAGAGATATGGAAAATTTTATTTATGAGCTTCAAATGAGCATCTAATCTACTAGTGTCATTGTAATTTCTCATACAAGTGTACAAATGATAGCGCAGCATCTCTTTCAGGTGTTATATTCAGAATCATAATAAAACTCTTGCAGAATATATGTGTGCATCAAAATGAAATGACAATGAATTTTCTCTCGAAATTGATAGCACGTATTAGCATAAATTGAACTGTGCAACTGTGTCCATAACAGGCTGAGTGATGTAGCAGTTGATTGCTTTGTACACATTCTTGTGTTTTGCCTTCTGTTTTCCTTGCTGTGTGTTATTCTCTCTTCCGTCCCACCAAGGTGAGAGTAAATTTTTCCCTTCCTGGCTTTATTGCTTGAAGATAATAGAGTAAGGCAGGAGCATGTGCAAGGCAAAAGTACCTGTTGTCATCATTGCCCTTTTCCGGTGTCCCTCTTTATTTCCTTCTGTGTCTTTGATATTCCAGGCAAAACTCTTTTATAACACTTCATGCCATGGCCCCTTCCAGCTACAGATAGGACAGGTGGTTGAATGGCTAGCACTCCATGAGCTTTATTCATGTATATTTATAAAAGTGCAATTTCTTTTTCTTTCTTTCTTTCTTTTTATATTATAGCAAACTCTTGTACATTTACTTACTTATTTTCTTTCAGTGATCATGCTAGTATGGTTGTGCTATCTGAAAATCTAGCCTTTTAGCTTCCTAGATGATATACTTAATATGACTAAATAAATCCAGCCTGTACCACAACTGTCAAAACACCTGGAAATTTATAATTTCACCATCTCTTCAGAGCAAGAGAGCTTTTGTGACAAATATGGTAGGGTGAATACGGAGCAGATAAACCCATATACTCTGACTTTCAATAAAGCAAGAGGGGATAACACTTCATAGAGACCAGATACCACTCTATCAAGGTTACTGAATGGACTATGTCCTGTACCAGATGTGATGCCTCAATGTGACCAAATCCATTCTAGATGCCTCAAAGCTGGTTTTTTTGGACCTGCATTTTTTTGTGAAAAATAAAATGCTAACTTATAGGGAAAATGATAACTAATTTTCTTGGCAGTGGTCAATAACTGGAGCTAGCATAAATAGCCGTTGGATTTATTTAGGAGAAGTTAACTCAGAATATAAGTGGCTTTCCCCTTCTACCTGTATCATAAAGCCTACCTTGACCAATGAGAAATCCAACAGTATTTGAAAATAAACTCCTGAGAACATAGGACGCAAACTAAGATAAGCAAATTACAGTTGTTATGCTCTCAATTGGCCTATAAAAATAAACAGTTTGAGAAATCTGTGTCTCCTACAGAACCACACTGACCAGATAGCACAGATGAGACAGCTAGCACCCTGATCATTAATGTCACAGGTAATTTTGTTGTTGGTTACTAGTATCTGCCATACATACCCTTCAGGAATTAAATGGGCCATCTTTGAAAGCCAAGGTCAAGGAGTGAAATTTTAAAATAATAATCCACCCCCAGCTAACGAAAAGCTAGGACAGGTAGTGTTTTCATTGCTTTTGTATTCAGGCCCTTCTCGTAGTATGCTGTGCCTTATGAGGGGAAGAGAGACCCTTGATTTTCAAGGAGGGTGAGTGGGTGGGAGTGCTCCTATGGGGGATGTATATCATGACAAATAATGGGCTCTTAAAAATTACACCTCCTTACTACCCTGATTCTCTGAAGCCCATAGCGGTGCCATGCATAGCCTTGTTGAGAATTGCTGCCTAGTGAGCCTCACTGACAGGTAATAGTAATGCATTCAGGTTTGTTGATAAGGAGAAAAGGTTTAGAAGTAATTGATAACTTTTCTTCCAATATAAGTTTTCTTAAAACTTCTAGTATGTTGTTAAACAACAGAGAAATAAGCGCTCTGAGTCTTGGGAGATTCTGTCTGTGTACAAGCATGAACTATGCTCCATATGAGAACATGAGCCTTGTCATCTGCTTTAAATGTCATTGGAGAACAGTTATCAATGACTACTTTCCCAGGGTTAAAATTAATAAACTTGAGCTTATTGTATTGCAAGCTTCTTTAGGATTTCACCCACTGTGAAAATATCATTTAAATAACATTTTACCGAACTTCAGGACTTCTTGTAAAATTTTGTGACAGTTCATCTTAATATGCGTAATATTTCTGTTCTGATTCCATTTTTGAACTTTTGTACTCTATTTTTATCTGTAGGATGGAGATAATGCTAGACAAAATTCAGAACAAAAGTATGTAATTTGAAAAATAACTGTTAAGAATTAATACTATGCAATTTCCCATGGCAATTGATTACGTGTTTGTTCAGAAGTTTGGCACAGTTGCTTGATTAAAATATTAATTTTCCAATTTCAATTGAGCAGTTTATGAATTTTACTTTATGGTGTTTACTTTCTCTGATAATGTCAATGTTTTTCACTAATTATGTCCAAGGGTGAGCTACCTTGGCCAATAGAACAACTTGGTTTCAGGTAATTTGTTCTTTTCAGTGGCTGTAAATGTATTGGCTATGTGGTTGAACTTTGACCATTTCTCTGACAATAATTTGCAACCTCCATGAGATCAGTCATAAATCCATAGTCAATTATGTGTTAGAAAATATATTAAAAAGCCTCAGAGGAACAAAATTATGTCATTTCTGTTGTGGAAGATTGGTTTAAAATAGGTCTTACAAATATTATGAAAATACAACTTACTGTAATCATACTGCAGTTTGTCATATGTGGTTCATTGTTATGAGGCAGTAAGGTGATGGCAGAGGCAGCACTATATATAGCACATAAATAAAAATAAATCAGGTTTACAACTCTGTTTGCAACCATCTGTAATGCATGGTAGCATATGTTTTATAGTTTTATTGAGAGAATACATCTTTTAATTCTCAAAACTTTGAGTTTGAAAGCTCATCTGTGATAGAAACTAATGGTTGAATTACAAGCTAAAGTGAATTTCATTTTACTTATTCTTCTAATCAGTTTACAAAGTGCAGCTTTACCTGCAGGAGGCATTCTTCCTTTTCTTTTTTTAAAAGATGAAATGTAAAAGAAAGCTTACCTCAACTTTACTATATAATATTGTCTCTTGGAAATGAAAAGTGCAGGATTTCTAACAGTCTCCTTCAAGTTGTAATTGAAAACAGTAAATTGTCTCCATATTTTCTTTAATACCTGTAAGTCTCCATACTTGTGAAGAAAATGAATTGATATTTTGTGTGGTAGTAGTAATACATTTATGAAATTTATTTGTAGACAGGAACTTTCCATTGAAGATATCTGACTCTTTTCATAGTTGTATTTTGAAAAGGGGTATTTTTTTCCCTAGATGATAATGCTGTGTTTGAATTAACACTATTATACAAAGGAAGTATGAAGGACTTACAAAATTGCACTGGAGTTTAAGACTTAAAATAGAACTCAATTTTTGTTTTTGACAAGTTTACTCACACGTATAAGGAGGTAAGGGGAAAAATGTAGTTACAAGTAATCAAAGCATTTGAAAATGTGCAGAAACTGAAGCTATTATTTTGGAGTGGGTGGGGAGGGAGAAATGGGAGTATTTCTATTATTCTATATCATGTCTAAGATACCTATTAATTCAAACCTCAGTAATCTTAATCAGATTATCTTCACATGAGATGAGAATAAATTCTCTACCTGAAATTCTCCACCTTACAATATAGGATCAAGGCAAGAATTTCGGAAGCTACATATTGCTAAAAAACTGAATTATCTCTCTGTGTATCATCCATATAGAAATTAATGAGCTTATATCTAGAAGCTCATCTTTTTTTTACTCCTCTGACAACTTAGACAAGGTTAAAATCTTAAACAAATTTTAAATTCCCTTTAAAGAAACACTGTAAAGGAAATACTACTTCTAACTTGGCAATTAAATTTTCATTAACCTAGTAATTTTTACATATTTTAATATAAAGGACAAAATGATCTGACAATACATTTACTTAACATTTGATTGCCTCAGAAACGCACCACCCAAGAAATATGAATAAAAGGATTCCTCAAACAGTAATAATGAATTGACCATTTTATCGTAGTTAATGATCCTTTTGCATTTTTATTACCAGTATTGCCCTTGTTATTTTCTTTTTTCTTCCTTTGCAGCCTTCATTTCATGGTCTTTTAAAATTGCATTGTCATTTAAAACTTTTTAAATGATTCCAAATAATATGGCACCATTCTCTTAAAGTTTCTAATGATTAGTAATTTCTACAACCATCTGTATATTTATATTGGTAGCTTTCAACAGAAATACCATTTAGATTAGATTAAAAGATTTCATAAATTAGGTTATGCACATCTAATTTTACTTTATAAAATATATTTAAAGATAGCTTTGCATTTTAAAGTTTTATTCTCCAGCGTATGATATTACAAGATATGAGTGACATCAAAACCACCTCTTCAAAATTGAAAAATTTCATCCTATGGATGAATAAATGTTATGTGGCTCAAAATGCCTTCTTTATTTGGCTGCATTTCCCATGGTAGGTAGTTCAGTGTTTCATATCAAGTAGGAGTTGAGTAAATACTTGTAGTGTATGTATGGAAAATAGTTGCTAAATAAATTCTACCAGAAAATAACTGTGATTTCCATGGGCACTCTGTTAAAAAGGGGGAGGGAGGGTAGATATTTATTTGTTCACATATATGATAGCTAAATAAAGTTAAAATATATTTTTGACAAAAATAACCACTCAGTATATTGATAGCATCATTACAATTGTGTTTTTACTACTGGCTATGAAGTTTTATAATTAGAGCTCTGAATCATTAACAAAATCCACAGGAAAACCTAGTGAACAAACTTTCATAAGTTTTCAAAATTTATATTTTTTATTTTTATGTTTTAAATCAATTAAAACTTATTTGTGAGCTAAATCATCTTCAATACAATTTTGGTTGAGATATAGAAAGTCATGTTGTATTACTCCAAAGCATACTGTAAATCCATTAATATAAATCTGGACTTGGCTAATGTAGTTTAGTTTAACAAGGAATAGACAATAAATGAACTACCTTAGTTTCTGCAATAGAAAGTGGTGAAGGGGGGATTCATAGTGGTGTTTTTTGTTGTTCGTTTTGCTTTTTGTGTCTTTGTTTTTAAAGAGCTATTATTGTAATTGCTACTAGGGACTATAAGTCAACAATAAACTTATTCAAAAAAAGTTTTATAAATCATTTGCTGTTTTAAAGCTTCAGTATCTTGTTCCTGCATTGAGCCTGACCCAGCAAATAAATATAGTGAGGAAATGAATAGTTAGCATATAAATAATTCCTATTATTTGCAGTGATAGTAATATTAAACAGTGTTCAACCTTCTTTCCTGGTTGCTCCAACATTTTGGAAACATATTCTTGTGGCCTACACTCACAGTGTGGATCACTCACCCTTTAGGATTATTAACAGAAAGTCTTCTGAACATATGAAGGAGATGAAAGGCAGCTGGAAGAGGTCCCATATGCTCTATTCCTTTCTCTTAGATTTTATGCTCTGAGAACATCTGTGTGAAGAGTAAAGTTGACATGGTGTTGCCAAAATGTCAGTGTTATGGGACTTGTAATTGATTACAAAAATGACCCTTAGTGTAGAATAGTGTAAAAAACATGAGGTTGGAATCAGTCCTGAAAGTGAATCCTGATTTTCCTATAAAATGGATATAACAGAGGGTAGATGTGCAGGACAAATGATATAATGTATGTAAAGCTCCTTGAATAGTGCTTGAGGTCTTTTACTTGAACAGTAATGATAACTATTGTTCTTGTCTTCGTTTTTGTTGATATATCAAGACTTACAGTATGGGAGCAAATGGACACGTGCCTGTCCTTTCATAATCAAAAAGCATTAGTGATGTGACTTGTGAAGCAGTGTGAAAAGGTTCTGAACACACAGTAGCCTTCCTATAAGCAGAATACCAAAAGCAAACTCACTTTGCCTAGAGTAAGCTACTTACTTGGGATCCAAGGGGGATTATTACAATTCAAGGTGAGGTCCATTATATTATTTTTTCATCTTCTAAGATCACAAAGCATAAGCACAAGATCCCTATAGATGTATTTTAACCTAAATTTTATCTATCTATCTATCATCTATCTATCTATCTATTTATCTATCTTCCTATTTAACAGATTTTCTATTTGTACATTCATGCCATAGTGTGCAAAGACTTTTGCCATTTACCCATATGCTGTTTAACACTTGGTTTAACAAAAAGAAGCTTAATGAAAAGAACACAAATGAACTACCTTTCATAACTATCAAACATATTTTTCACTAATCTTAGCAAGATTCTATAATTACATGATACTACTTTTTTCATTGACATAGCTTAAGAGAAGAAAAGACAAAATGTAAGTATCAGTCTCTGGCAGACTATGTTAAATATGTTTACTCATAATGAATTAAATTTATAGGGTAAAGAAGAAGAGTGAATTTTTAAAAACGTATATTCACTTAATGAATACCTTAAGTAATGACGTAGAGCCACACTCAAAATTTAAATTTTCTTTTCTTTTTAAGAGACAAGGACTTGACTGGTCACCTAGGTCGGAGTGCAGTAACATGATCATAGCTCACAGTACCCTCCAACTCCTGGGCTTAAGAGGTCCTTCTGCCACAGCCTCTCAAGTAGCTAATTTTTTTTTTATCATTATTATTCTTTGTAGAGACAGATGTATTAGTCCGTTTTCATGCCCCTGAAAAAGACATACCTGAGACTGGGGAATTTATAAAGAAAGAGAAGTTTAATGGACTCACAGTTCCACATGGCTGGGGAGGCCTCACAATCATGGCAGAAAACATCCAGAAAAGAAGTCTATCGACTCAATCTACACTGAAGTTAAAGGAACACCCACACACACAAATGAGGAAGAACCAACACAAGAACCCTGGTAACTCAAATGGCCAGTGTCATATGTCCATGAATGACTGCACCAGTTCTCTAAGAAGGGCTCTTAACCAAGCTTAGCTGGCTGAAGTGACAGACATAGAATTGAGAATATGGATAAGAACAAAGATCACTGAGATTCAGGAGAATGGCAAAACCAAGTCCAGGAAAACTAAGAATCATAATAAAATGATACAGGAGTTGAAAGCCGAAATAGTGGAATAACAGCAGAATAGACCAAGATGAGGAAATAATCTCAAATCTTGAAGACTGGCTCTCCAAAATAAGACAATTAGACAAAATTAAGAAAAAAAAAGAATAAAAAGGAATGGACAAAATCTCTGAGAAATATGGGCATATGTACAGAGGCCAAATCTACTAATCATTGACATCCCTGAAAGGTATGGGGAGAAAGCAAACAACTTTGAAAACATATTTCAGGCTATCATTCATAAAAATTTCCCCAATATTGCTAGAGAGGCCAACAGTCAAATTCAGGAAATACAGAGAACCCCTAAAAAATCAGACACAAGAAGATCATCCCCAAGAAACATAATCATCAAAATTTCTGAGGTCAAAATGAAAGAAAGAATGGCAGCTAGAGAGAAGGGGCAGATCATCTACAAAGAGAATCCTTTCTGGCTAACAGCAGACTTCTCAGCTGAAATCCTGCAAGCCAGAAGAGATTGGGGGCCTATATTCAACATTCTTAAACAAACAAACAAACAAATTCAACCAACATTTTCATATGCAGCCAAACTAAGCTTCCTAAGGGAAGGAGAAATAAGGTCCTTTTAAGATAAGCAAATGTTGAGGGAGTTCATTACCACCAGACCTGTCTTATAAGAGATCTTGAAGGAGCACTAAATATAGAAAGGAAAGACTGCTACCAGCCTATATAAAAACACACTTAAATACACAGACCAGTGACACTATAAAACAATCACACAAACAAGCCAGCATAATAACCAGCTAATAACACAATTACAGGACCAAACGCACACATATCAATACCAACATTGAATGTAAATTGGCTAAATATCCCACTTAAAAGGCACTGAGTGACAAGCTCCTGCATAGCAAAAGAAACTGTCAACAGAGTAAACAGACAACCCACAGATTAAATTATTTTTTGCAAACTGTGCATTCAACAAAGGGCTAATATCCAGCATCTATAAGGAACTTAAACGAATTTATAAGAAAAAAACAAACAACCCCATGAAAAAGTGGGCAAAGGGCATGAACAGACACTTTTCTAAAAAAGACATACATGTGGCCAGCAGGCATATGAAAAAAATCTCAATATCATTAATCATTAGAGAAATGCAAATCAAAACCGCAATGAGATACCATGTCACACCAGTCAAAATGGCTTTTATTAAAAAGTCAAAAAATAACAGATGCTGGTGAGGTTATGGAAAAAAAGGGAACACTTATACACTGTTAGTGAAAGTATAAATTAGTTCAACCATTATGGAAAGCAGTATGAAATTCCTCAAAGAGTTAAAAACAGAACTACTATTTAACGCAGCAATCCCATTACTGGGTGTATACCCAGAGGAATAAAAATCATTCTAACATAGAGAAACATGCACACAAATGTTCACTGCAGCACTATTCACAATAGTAAAGACATGGAATCAAGCTAAATGCCCATCAATGACAGATTGGATAAAGAAAACGTGGCACACATGAAATATTATGCAGTCATACAAATAATGAGATCATGTCCTTTGTGGGCACATGGATAAAGCTGGAGGCCATTATCCTTAGCAAACTAATGCAGGTACAGAAAACCAAATACAACATGTTCTCACGTATAAATGGGAACTAAATGATGAGAACTCATGAACAAAGAAAGAAACAACAGACAAAGGGGGCCTCCTTGAGGGTGGAGTTTTGGAGGAGGGAGAGGAGCAGAAATAATAACTATTGAGTACTAGGTTTAGTACCTGGGCGACAAAATAATCTGTACAGCAAACTTCCATGACACGAGTTTACCTATATAACAAACCTGCACATGTATTCCAACCTAAAATAAAAGGTAAAAAAAAAAAAAAAAAAGAATGTAATTTGATTGTTTGTAACACAAAGGATAGATAAATGATTGAGGGGATGGATACCCGTTTCTCCATGATGTGATTATTATGTGTTGCATGCCTGTATCAAAACATCTCATGTATCCCATAAATATATACACCTACTCTGTACGCACAAAAATTTGAAAATGAAAATATGAAGTGGCAAGGATAGTAGATGTGCATATGTGTGTATGGTTTGTATTAAGGCTGAAGTTTAACATACAGAACAGGAATTAGTTTAACCACTCAAAATAGGAAGTCAGGATTCTGTTTATAATTCTAACTAAAGATAACCAAATAATGATTTTAGTAAAATTTTATATCTTTTCTAGAGATGTTGGTAAAATTTTATAGTCTGAGCTTCAGTGGATCTCTACTAAGATAAGCAAGATATTTAAAATGTAATTTTGAAAAGTCAGATACTGATAATGAAGGATAAATTACCTTACTTAAATACATAATTGACCTTATAACAGAAAACCAAATATGACTATAATTTTTAAATTGTCCATATGTCCCCTTCCTTCTCTCTTTAAACTTAGCATCTGCTCATTAATTAATTTCACTCACTTCTATTAAGTGTATCATGTGCTCTGGCACTGTACTATTATTGCTTTTGAGTCTTAAGTAAGCAGAAGAAAAGCTTTCTTACATGGAATGGCCCACTGTTTTACATGGAAACAGAAGTCCTGCAACAGGTGCAGAACTTTTCCTAGGTGCTGTCTAGTATATATTTCTCCCTTAAGGTATTCTTGTAAGGGAAAAAGATAATTGATAATTAGTCTGAATGAACCCAAGGGTGGAAAAGGACCCTGCTTTAAGCCCTAATATGACTAAACCTTGCAGAGAAAATAATGAAAAAGATTTAAAAAATACAGCTATAGGTAACAAGACAGATGACAGCATGATTTAAGTGTATTGAAAACAATAAGGGACCTACTGCTAAGTAATGCACCTACTGCTAAGTAACGCATCGAAAATTGGGTGCTGCCAAAAATGGCCAGTTGTGTGCTTTGAACTTAATCTGATAGGTAGTAAGACATACATAAGCAAACACAATATTTTAGAGTCTATAGAAATTTGATGTTGTAAGTAAATTGAGAGTCGTATATTCCATCTTCAACTCAGTCAAGCACCCTTGCCTACACATTGTCCTTTCCTTAATTCTACTCTAATGACAAAAGTACCAGACAACACGTATCCTGAATGATGTCTTTTATTGTTTTAAAAATTGCATGTATATTGCATAAGCACGTATTTTAGTAAACATAAGACACACAATATGATTTTAAAAACTCCCTCGGTGCTGTTGCTTTCACTCAAAGCAGTTATTATTAAGGGAATTGATTATTTTGTTGAATTTAATTTAAAATGTTAATTATGTATCATTTATTGGGGTTGACAAAGTTCAGGATATTCTACTCCAAAATATGATACCTTGGCATACTGAATATTTTCAGCTGAAGTAATTTGAGAAAACAGCAGAAGCAGGAAGGTCAGTCTCAACTCCTCCCCACCTCTCCTTGTTACTTGAAGCATGCCATAAAACCTAGGAAGGATTTTCTGACTGTTCCCTGAAGCAGGTCATAAGACACTCAATAGAAAGGTGCCCTTCTTATACCCAGAGGAAAAGAACATTTTTATATCTGAAGATGAAGGGTCACAGAGAAGGAGTTGAACCAGCAGGTCTTGCTAAGTTTCCTTCAGTCACCATTAGATCTACCCCACTTTGTCCATTTATTTCTCCATAATTATTCACTCTTCATCAAACATAAGCATAAAAATACACAAGTTTACCTGTTTTTATGGGTCTTCATTTCCTTATTACAGTCCCCATGTCATATGAAAGTTGTACTGAACAGATTTGTATGCTTTTTTCTTGTTAGTCTTTTGCTATGGTGCCTAAGACATGAGATTAATATGGGTGAGAAAAAGATATTTCTCCTCCCCTCCACAGTAAACTTGATATACTTGGACTTACTTGGATGTATATGTCATGACACCAGAAGTAGACATGAATAGAATTTTTAATACTTTTGTATTAGAAAAATGCACAGGAGACATCTGGAATTTCAACAAATATCAGACTATGCATAAATATGTAACCCAGAATTCATTTGGGTTTCCTAGGTGTTATTGTCAATTAATGGCATTTATGTAATTAAACTGAGTTTATGAACTGTCATAAGAAAGAAGTAGTAAAGAAGTGTCTTTAGGGTCATACCTCTGAAGGTAAGAACACCAAGTGGGCTACAATAATAACAATTAATCTTATATATTATCCTAGCAATTACTTTGGATTGTGTTGATCTCTGTTATACTGAAATGGAAGCCAAAGCTTAAAAGGAAAACAAAATGTGACCTGAATTTGGAGGAATATGGACAGACCTTAGATGGAATCAGAGCCATAGGATCTTCCTCCATGTAATGAATGACCAAACCATGCGGCTATTCTGGATGGCTGTGGATCAAGTCAGCTTGCATATAGTACTAAAACCATTATAATTTTGAAAAATATATCTAGGAAAGTATGAAAAAGTGATTGAGTTTATAAATCAAAACTTGCTAAAAGATTTTTCTATGTATAAAGACATAAACTATTTAAATAATCACTGCTTGACTCATTTTAAACATTTTTATGAACTTCTTGAGAGTTCAGGTTTAGGTACACAAAGAGATATCAACTTCAACATTTCAGCTCTTTCTCTCCCCTCCTCCTCCATTCTTTTCCTCTCCCTTCCTTCCTACTATCCCTTCTTCTGCTTGCATCTACTTGTGCATTGGAGACAGTCTAAGCAAAATGATTCCCAACAAAACATTACACTTAAACAATCTTTGGAAGACTAAAGATTTTTTAAAAACAATAAACCACAAGATGTTATAAATTATGGGAAATTACATAGGAGAATGGAGTACAGTTACATTTCAGAGCCGTTTTTACTTGATAATTATACTTAATGACAATGTTTTGATAGCTAGTTTTTTAAAAAAACAATTTTATTCTCTTTTATTATGGAGTGTGAACATGTTTTTCCTCTTGGTATTCTCCAGTGTCAGCCTTGTTTTTAGTGCTGAATAATGTCAAAGATTAAATTTTCTTTTTAGAAACCATTTTTTTCCAATAATTTCTTCTAATTTACAAGATCTTGAATGGTTTTTTTAGAAGTTTTATTTTAGATTCAGGGAGTACATGTGCAGTATGTTACCTGGGTATATTGCATGATGTTTGGGGTACAAATGATCTCATCACCCAGGTCCTGAACATGGTACTGAATAGTTTTTCAACTTTTGCCTCCCTCCCTCCCTCCCCACTCTGGTAGTCCTCAGTGTCTGTTGTTGCCATATGTATGTTCATGAGTGCCCAATGTTTAGCTCTCACTTATAAGTAAGAACATGTGGTGATATTCTTTGGCTGTGTCTCCACACAAATCTCATCTCGAATACCCATGCATTGTGGGAGGACCTGGTGGGAGGTAATTGAATCATGGGGGCAGGACCTTCCCATGCTGTGCTCCTGATAGTGGGTAAGTCTCATGAGATCTGATGGTTTTAAAAAGAGGAGTTCCCCTGCACAAGCTCTCTCTGCCTGCTGCCATCCACGTAAGATGTGACTTGCCCCTCCTTGCCTTCTGCCACGATTGTGAGGCCTCTCCAGCCATGTGGAGCTGTTAAGTCCAGTAAGCTTCTTTCTTCTGTAAATTGCCCAGTCTCAGGTATGTCTTTATCAGCAGTGTGAAAACAGACTAATACAGTAAATTGGTACCAGTAGAGTGGGGTGCTGCTGAAAAGATACCCAAAAATGTGGAAGCAACTTTGGAACTGGGTGACAGGCAGAGGTTGGAACAATTTGGAGGGCTCAGAAGAAGACAGGAAAATGTGGGAAAGTTTGGAACTCCCTAGAGACTTGTTGAATGGCTTTGACTAAAATGCTGATAGTAATATGCACAATAAAGTCCAGGCTGAGGTGGTCTTAGATAGAGATAAGAAACTTGTTGGGAACTGGAGAAAAGTTGACTCTTGTTATCTTTTAGCAAAGAGACGGATGGCACTTTTCCCCTGCTCTAGGGATTTGTGGTACTTTGAACTTTAGAGAGATGACTTAGGGTATCTGGTGGAAGAAATTTCTAAGCAGCAAAGCATTCAGGATGTGACTTGGGTGCTGTTAAACACATTCAGTTTTATAAGGAAAGCAGAGCATAAGAGTTCTGAAAATTTGCAGTCTGACAATTTGATAGAAAAGAAATTCCCATTTTCTGAGGAGAAATTCAGCCAGCTGCAGAAATTTGCATAATTAACTAGGAGCCAAATGTTAATCACCAAGACAATGGGGAAAATATCTCCAGGGCACACCAGGAGGCTTTATGGCAGCCCCTCCTATCACAAGCCTGGAGGCCTATGAGGGAAAAATGGTTTCATGGGCCAGGCCCAGGGTTCCCATGCTGAGTGCTGCCTAGGGACTTGGTGCCCTGTGTCCCAGCTGCTCCAGTCATGGCTGAAAGGGGCCAAGGTAGAGTTTGGGCCATGGCTTCAGAGGGTGCAATCCCCAAGCCTTGGTAGCTTTCACTTGTTGTTGAGTCTGTGGGTGCACAGAAGTCAGTAAGTGAGGTTTGGAAACCTCTGCCTAGACTTCAGAAGATGTATGGAAATGCCTGGATGTCCAGGCAGAAGTTTGCTGCAGGAGCAGCACCCTCATGAAGAACCTCTGCTAAAGCAGTGTGGTAGGGAAATGTGGGGTCGGCACCCACACACAGAGTCCCTACTAGGGCACCATCTAGTGGAGCTGTGAGAAGAGGGTTACAGTCCTTCAGACCTTAGAATGGTAGATCCACTGACAGCTTTCACTGTGTGCCTGGAAAAGCCACAAACACTCAACACCAGCCCACGAAAGCAGTTGGGAGGGATGCTGTACCCTGCCAAGTCACAGGGGCAGAGCTTTCCAAGACTATGGGAACTACCTCTTGCATCAGTGTGACCTGGATGTGAGACATGGAGTCAAAGGATATCATTTTGGAGTCTTAAGATTTGACTGCCCTGCTGGATTATAGACTTGCATGGGGCCTGTAGCCTCTTTGTTTTGGCCAATGTCTCCCATTTGGAATGGCTGTATTTACTGAATGCCTGTTCCCCCATTGTATCTAGGAAGTAACGAACTTGCTTTTGATTTTACACACTCATAGGCAGAAGGGACTTGCGTTTTCATGGATGAGAATTTGGACTGTGGACTTTTGAGTTAAAACTTTGAGGGACTGTTGGGAAGGCTTGATTGTTTTTTAAATATGAGGACATGAGATTTGAGAGGGGCCAGGGGTGGAATGATATGGTTTGGCTGTGTCCACACCCAAATCTCATCTTGAATTTCCATGTGTTGTGGGGGAACTGGGTGGAAGGTAATTGAATCATGGGGGCAGGCTTTTCCCATGCTGCTCTCATGATAGTGAATAAGTACCACAAGATCTGATGGTTCTATAAGGGGGAGGTTCCTAGCACAAGCTATTCCTTTGCCTGCTGCCATCCACGTAAGATGTGATGTGCACCATGATTGTGAGGCTTCCCCAGCCATATGGAACCATAAGTCCATTAAATTTCTTTCTTTTGTAAGTTGCCCAGTTTTGAGTATGTCTTTATCAGCAGTGTGAAAATGGACTAATACATGTGTTATTTGGGTTTATGTACTTGTATTATTTTACTTAGGGTAATGGGCTCCAGTTGCATTCATTTCATAGCAAAGGACATAATTTCCTTTCTTTTATGGCTGTGTAGTATTCTACAGTGTATACATAACACACTTCCTTTATCCAGTTCATCATTGATGGGCACCTAGGTTGATTCCATGTCTTGTTATTGTGAATATTGCTGCAACGAACATGCTGTTGGCATGTGTCTTTTTGGTAGAAAAATTTATATTTCTTTGAGTATATACCCAGTAATGGGATTGCTGTGTCAAATGATAATTCCATTTTACATTCTTTGAGAAATCTCCAAGCTTCTTCACACAGTGGCTGAATTACTTTACATTCCCACCACCAGTGTATAAGCATTCCCTTTTCTCCATAGCCTCACCAGCATCTGTTGTTTTTTGTCTTTTTCATAATAGTTGCTCTGACTGTTGTGAGATAGAGATAGTATCTTATTGTGGTTTTGATTTGCATTTTTCTGATTAGTGATATGGAGCATTTTTTCCATACCACTGGTATGAGATGGTATCTCATTTTGGTTTTGATTTTCATTTTCTGATGATTAGTGATATGGAGCATTTGTTCATGTTTGTTGGCTACCTGTATGTCTTCTTAAGAGAAGTGTATGTTCATGTCCATTGTCTATTTTTAATGGGGTTGTTATTAGGTTTTTGCTTGTTGATTTGTTTGACTTTCTTATAGATTCTTGATATTAGTCCTCTGATAGATTCTTGATATTAGTCCTCTGTGAGATGCATAGTTTGCAAATATTTTCTCCTATGCTGGAGTTTTTGTTTTTCCTCTGCTGATAGTTTCTTTTGTTGTGCAGAAGATCTTTAGTTTAATCAGTTCCCACTTGTGAATTTTTGTTTTTGATGTAATCACTTTTGAGAATGCAGCCATAAATTATATCCCAAGGCCAATTTCCAGAATGGTGTTTTCTAGGTTTTCTTCTAGGATTCTTATAGTTAGAGGTTTTACATTTAAACCTTCAACTTATCTTGAGTTAATTTTTGTATGTGGTAAAAGGTATGGATCTACCATTATTCTTCTGCATGTGGCTAGCCAGCTATCTCAGCATCATTTATAACATAGGGAGTCCTTTCCCTATTGCTTAATTTTGTTGACTTTGTTGAAGATAAGATGGTTTCATGTAGGTGTGCAGCTTTATTTCTGGGTTCTCTATCCTGTTTCATTAGTCTACATGACTGTTTTTGTACTAGTATCATGCTATTTTTTTTATTGTAGCCTCATAGTGTAATTTAAAGTCAGATAATGTGATGCCTCCAGTATTTTTCTTTTAGCTTAACATAGCTTTTGCTATTCAGGCTCTTTTTTGTACCATATGAATTTTAGAATAGTTTTTTTTTCTAGTTCTGTAAAAAATGATGTTGGTACTTTGACAGAAATAGTGTTGAATCTGTAAATTGCTTTGGGCAGTATGGCCATATTAATGTATTAAGTCTTCCAATCCATGAGCATGAAACGTTTTTCCATGTGTTTTTGTCATCTCTGATTTCTTTGAGCAGTGTTTTGTAGTTCTCTTTGCAGAGATATTTCACCTTGGTTAGATGTGTTCCTAGGTATTTTATGTTTTTGGTGGTTATTGTAAATGAGATGACATTCTTGATTTGACCCTCAGCTTGAATGTTTTTTTGGGAAGGAGTGTAAAAATTTACTGATTTTTGCACATTGATTTTGTATCCTGAAACTTTACCATAGTTCTTTATCAGTTCCAGGAACTTTTTGACAGAGTCTTTAGGGTTTTCTAAATACAGAATTTTGTCAACCACAAACAGTGGTAGTTTGACTCTTTTCTTTTTTTCCTATTTGGTTGACTTTTGTTTCTTTCCCTTTCCTGATTGCTCTGGCTAGCTCTTCTGATACTATGTTGTATAACAGTGGTGATAGTAGGCATTCATGTCCTGTTGCAGTTCTCAAAGGGAGTGCTTCCAGCTTTTGTCCATTTAATATGATGTTGGCTGCATGTTTGTCATAGATGGCTCTTATTGTTTTAAGGTGTGTTCCTTTGATGCCTAGTCTGTTGGATTTTTTTTTTTTTTAATGATGAAGGGATGTTGAATTTAATCAAAAGCTTTTTCTGCATCTATTGAGAAAAATAGTTTATGACAATATGGTTTTTGTTTTTAATTGTGTTTATGTAGTAAATCACATTTATTGATTTGTGTATGTTGAATCAACCTTGCAGTCTCATGAATAATGCCTATTCAATCATGACAAGTTAACTTTTTGATGTGCTGTCAGATTCCATTTGTTAGTATTTTGTTGAGGATTTTCATGTCTGTGTTTATCAAGAATATTGGCCTACAGTTTCCTTTTCTTATTGTGTCTTTGTCAGGTTTTGTTTTCAGGGTGATGCTGGTATTTTAGAAAGAGCTGCAGAGGAGCTCTTTCTCCTTGATTTTTTGGAATAGTTTCAGTAGAATTGGGACCAGCTCTTCTTTGTACTTCTGGTAGAATTGAACTGTGAATCCATTTGGTCCAGGGCTTTTTTTTTTTTTTTTTTTTTTTTTGATTGGTAGGTTTTTTACTATTGATTCAATTTTGGAACTTGATGTTCCTCTCTTTAGGATTTCAACTTCTTCCTGATTCAATCTTGGAAGATTGTATGTTTCCAGGAATTTGTCAGTTTCCTCTAGATCATCTAGTTCATGTGCATAGAGTTGTTCTTAATAATCCCAGAGGATCACGTATATTTCTGTGAGGAGATCTTATATTTTAAAATACTACAACTTGCTTGAAAAAAAAAATGATATAAATACAAGTTAGTTCCAACATGGATTTTAAGAGTTCACATCAAGAATGCATCATAAATTATGAGGGGTTAAAAAACTAAAAGAATAGTTTTTCAGAAGAGACCAAGAAAACAATTAAGTTGGGAAAACTTAATGCATAAGAAAAGTTTAAAGGAATCAGGAGAAGTCTAAAACCGATTTTAAAACTGTTTTTAATATTGTAAGTACTTAATGAAACTAGGATATTTAAGATCAAGTGTACTTTATTTTCACTAGATATAGGAGAGAATGTTGAATTGAATTAAATTATAATTAAAAATTATGCTAGCTCTGAGGAATTGCTTCTTTCTAGTAAGATACACTGCTGAAAAAATATATATGGGATATCATAGAATATCCCTTGAATGTGATTAAGAGTAGAATTTTCAGCAGTGTCACAAATAACTAAAATTCAGATTTGGAATGAAAAAGCAAACTGGATTAGAAAATTATGCTTTTGTTCCTACTCTTTGATTCCATAATAATTCTGAAAGAACATGTTAGCAAATGCCTTCAACTTAAGTGAACTCCTTAATTTAACCTCATATTATTGGTTTTGTGTCATGTCTCAATATGTCACCAAAGCCAGCCCAGATTTTAAATTCTTATTATTACTTAATAACACCTACATTTTAATCTTAGAAATTCTTCTTCAAGGCATCACAAAGCAGAATTAAAAAAAAAAAAAAAAGAATACTTTCTGAGTATCAACCAATATTTTAAATGATTCTATATCATGTGCAGCCTCTTTCCTATGTAGTGTGCAAATAATGTACTTCTTTTTGGATTAAATGGACTCAGGAGTGAGCATGTACTATCTAGAATATTGTACAAAATTGCCTTGAATATGTTATATGCAATGATATGGTTTCACTGTGTCCCAACCCAAATCTCATCTTGAATTTAATGCCCATAATTCCCAAATGCTGTGGGAGGAGGAACCTGGTGGGAGGTGACTGAATTATGGGGCAGGCCTTTCCTGTGCTGTTCTTGTGATACTGAATGAGTCTCACAAGATCTGATGGCTTTAAAAACGGAAGTTTCCCTGCACAAGCTCTCTCTTTGCCTGCTGCCATCCCTATAAGATGTGACTTGC
The DNA here is from genome assembly GCF_000001405.40 of Homo sapiens. NCBI lineage: Eukaryota > Metazoa > Chordata > Mammalia > Primates > Hominidae > Homo > Homo sapiens. The sequence continues at coordinate 92,446,575 of NC_000023.11, forward strand.
TCCTCCTTGCCTTCTACCATAATTGTGAGGCCTCCCCAGCCATGTGGAACTGTAAGTCCATTAAATCCTTTCCCGTATAAATTACCCAGTCTCAGATATGTCTTTATGAGCAGCATGAAAATGGATTGATACAGTAAATTGGTTCCAGGAGTAGGGTGCTGCTGAAAAGATACCCGAAAATGTGGAGGTGACTTTCGAGCTGGGTAACAAGCAGGGGTTGGAACAGTTGGAGGGCTCAGAAGAAGATAGGAAAATGTGGGAAAGTTTGGAACTCCCTAGAGACTTGTTGAATGGCTTTGCCCAAAATGCTGACAGCAATATGCACAATAAAGTCCAGGCTGAGGTGGTGTCAGATGGAAATGAGGAACTGGAGCAAAAGTGACCCTTGTTATGTTTTAACAAAGAGACTGGTAGCATTTTGCCCCTTCTCTAAAGATTTGTGGAATTTTGAACTTGAGAGAGATGATTTAAGGTATCTAGCAGAAGAAATTTCTAAGTGGCAAAGCATTCAAGAGGTGACTTGGGTGCTGTTAAAGGCACTCAGTTTTGTAAGGAAAACAGATATAAAAGTACAGAAATTTTGCAGCCTGACAATTTGATAGAAAAGAATTTACTATTTTTTGAGGAGAAATGAAAGCCAATTGTAGAAATTTGCATAACTAATTAGAAGCTGAATGTTAATCACCAAGACAGTGGGGAAAATGTCACCAGGGCATGTGAGAGGTCTTCGTGGAAGCCCCTCCCATCACAAGCCCAGAGGTCTAGGATTTAAAAATGGCTTTGTGGGCCAGGCTCAGGTCCCTGTGCTGTGTGCAGTCTAGGGAACTGGTAACTGCATCCCAGCCACTCCAGCCACAAATAAATGGGGCCAAGGTACAGCTCGAGTCATGGCTTCAAAGGGTGCAAGCTCCAAGCCTTGGCAGCTTCCATGTGATGTTGGGCCTGTGGGTGCATGGAAGTCAAGAAATGAGGTTTGGGAACCTCTGCCTAGGTTTCAGGGGATTTGTGGAAACACCTGGATGTCTAGCAGAAGTTTGCTGCAGGGGCAGGGCCCTCATGGAGAACCTCTGCTAGGGCAATGTGGAAGGGAAATGTGAGGTCGGAGCCTGCACACAGAATCCCTACTGGGGCACCACCTAGTGGAGCTGTGAAAAGAGGGCCACTGTCCCTCAGACCCCAGAATGGTAGATCCACTGACAGCTTGCACTGCGTGCCTGGAAAATCCACAGACACTAAACAACAGCCTATGAAAGCAGCTGGGAGGGAGGGTGTACCCTGCCAAGCCACAGAGGTGGAGCTGCTGAAGATCATGGGAACCCACTTCTTGCATCAGCATGACCCGGAAGTGAGACATGGAGTCAAAGGAGATCATTTTGGGGCTTTAAGATTTCACTGCCCTGCTGAGTTTTGGACCTCCATGGGGCCTGTAGTCTCTTTGTTTTGCCAATCTCTGCCATTTGAAATGGTTGTATTTACCCAATGACTGTACTCCCATTGTATCTAGGAAGTAACTAATTTGCCTTTGATTTTACAGGCTGATAGGCAAATGGGGCTTGCCTTGTCTCAGATGAGATGTTGGACTGTGGACTTTTGAGTTAATGCTGAAATGAGTTAAGACTTTGGGAGACTGTTGGGAAGGTATGACTGTTTTTGAAATGTTAAGACGTGAGATTTGGGATGCACCAGGGGCGGAATGATATGGTTTGGCTGTGTCTCCACCCAAATCTCATCTTTAATTGTAACTCCCACAATTCCCATATGTTGTGGGGGGAACCCAGTGGGAAGTGACTGAATTATGGGGGTGGGTCTTTCCTGCACTGTTCTCTTGGTACTGAATGAGTCTCACAAGATCTGATGGTTTTAAAAATGGGATTGTCCCTGAACAAGCTCTTTCTTTGCCTGCTGCCATCCATGTAAGATGTGACTTGCTCGTCCTTGCTTTATGCCATGAGTGTGAGCCCCCTCCACCCCCTGCCATGTAGAACTGTATGTTCATTAAACCCTTTTCCTGTATAAATTACCCAGTCTCAGGTATGTCGTTATTAGCAGTGTGAAAATGGACTAACACACGAAATTTCCTCTATCTTTTAAAATGATAACTAAAGAGACTGAGCATATACGCCACCAAGAATATGTGTGTGTGGTGGAGAAAGGGTACTTAATTAGCTTAATTAACTCTTTACAATTCGAGAATTTTGGGGAGTCCAAGTTTTGGCTAAGTAGTATATGTGGTTTCGATAGTTTTCAGTAACTTCTTATAGCCGAAATTTTATTGTTTGCTAGCTGGCAAAAGCATTATGTTTAAAAATATACAGCAACAGATTTTCATATTTTTTCATATCTTTTTAGAATGACTCACATAAGTAGCTCTGTTCTTTTGCAGATTACTTTAGTGTTCCTCGGATAGGCATCACTTAAATGTGCAGTAGCAGATAGGACTTTTCTAAAGTCCTCTTATAATGTAATATGTCATTACTTCGATTTACCAAGCTTAACAAGTGTTTGACACCCTTCAGCTACTAAATTGATTCAGAAAAGATAGATCAGCATAGGCATGCTCTGATTTTTTTGCTCATTCTTGATGGATTACAATTATTAACCTACAGGTGGAGTCTAGATCTTTATTTTTAGAGAAAAATCTCAACAAATAGTCAACTGAATAGAATCAGGGCAACATAGCTATTTGAGAACTACACAACTTTCAAATTAACTTCTTGTATAGCAGCTTCAATCTTCTGTATTAGAAATTGTAATAAACTATTAAACTGAATATTTTTTATTTGTCACCACACTATTCCCAGATGGTTGATCATTCTCATGAACAGTGGAAGACCAAGAAACATCAAGCAACAGAAACTGAATTTCTGGTCAACCTATTAATTCAAAATTTAGTCCCTGATATGAGAGTGTAAAAATTCTTTTAAAGTTAAAGTGAACATTTATAATAATATACACAAATACCCCATTTTAAAGATGTGGAAATTGAGGCTGGAGAAGGATAGATTATTTGCACAAATTTCACAAAAAAATAATGATAGAGCATGGGTTAAAACACACAGTATCGTGATTATATTTGAATCATACATGAGAGCTCAAATTACATTGCGCTTTGCCCATTCTGCCAGAAAATATTCTGGAGGTCATTATCATGCAGTAGTTAAGCCCACAAAAAGCTCTAGAGTCAGCAACTCTTTGTTAGACTCTCAGCTCTGTCACCTACCTTTCTATCTCAACTTCAGTTTCCCCATTGATTTAACAGGAATGAAAATAGTATTTATGTCAGAGAGTTGTTGAAATGATAAAATGCATACAAAAAGAGACCCCCTGGCACATGGTAGGTGTAACAGATACTAATGTATCATAGTGTTTCTCTTAAAATTTTGGAACAGTATAATTGTATAATTTAAAAAATCAATATTGCATATATTGAATAAATAATAACTTTATTATAGAGTTCATGAAATGGTAAAGATAAAGTCAATTACATTGTATCCATCTCAGATCATTGGGAAAATTTTCCTCACACAAATATACACTCAAGAAATACACACCAAGAATACAACCTCAGATATCAGATATTAGAGCTAAATTTTATTCACAATGCTAGGCTAAGAAATCTTTGGTTAGAAGGTTATAGAACATCAAGATTTTATTGGTAAGCACATAACCCCATTTAATTCCAGTAGACGCTCTTTTAACAGTCACAGTCAGAATCAGAGGTAAGATGGTTCATCAAAGCAATCAGATGAACAGGTAAATCATTAAGAAATGCATACATATCTCATATATGTTACATATATATGATAAATAAATACTTGAAACAAAGAAGTGTACATTTATCTTTCATAATTTGATGTAGAATCTTTGCCTTGCCTTTGGATGTATGTTCACTGATTTTAGCACAATGCACCATATTTATTACATACACTCTACCAATATTACATAATATGTAGTGTCCGGTTTTTGTTCCCATAAAATGGAGTGTGTTTTTAAGTGCTCTTGAAAAGTGTTCTGAGTATGGAATGCTTCTAGAGTTTTATGATACTTTTTCTGAATCTTCTGTAGTTCTCTTGCTCAGACAGTACTCTATGACAAGTCATTGCAGCATTTTGCCCTTTGTAATCTTTCTGAAAAGTTCAATTTCATCTTCTTTGAAGCAATTATTTTTATATTAACATTTCATTGGGTTATATGAGATTTTAATTAAATTAAATGGTTGCAATAGCAAATGCAGCTCATGTAAATGTATTTTAAAACAATATCTGACTTTTCTTAAGCATAAACTCGCTTTGGCTCAGAAGTGAGTGGGTATACTGTAAAGTGGCATCCTAGCTGAGGTGAGGACATAAAGCTTGTTGACTTCATCAAGTCAATGTTTTATTCACTGTGAGAATAATGAGCTTTATTTAATCGAATGAGTTGGTTAAGTAGAGGCCTGTCAAAAAAGTTTCCAATTTATTAATATTGATGCATTTGCTATATCAGAGTAGGACATCCAATTGTGGAAGATTTCACAACTTACCATTGTATTTACAAATCTAAACTTAATTTTTGATCATTCTAATATCTCAAGAAGTTTGTTTGCAGTTTGCCCATACCTTCACAGTAACCCGACTGCTACACGACAGCAACCCTAGCCTTTAATCAAAAGTATGAATTTTTGAATGAAACAAGTACATTTGCATAATTTTTTTAAATAGTTAAAATCAGTGTACCTCAAACTTTCATGTGCAGATCCATCATATAACATATAAATCTTATGTATGTTTTACCAAAATTAAAAAGGCAAAAAAGAAATATTAATGCTATGTCCTACTAATATCATTATTTTCCCTGGGAGTGTAGCCTGGAAATAATATTTTTGTAAAATTATCTATTTGATCTATGTGTATGCAAATTTTAAAAACCACTGATTTAAATGGAAAACCTTAAAATGTGTTTCAATCATTCACCACTTGAGTTCCAGTGAGAACAAAAGTAAAGTTTTATCTTTGAGTCTACCGATTATTTCCGTTACAGGGTAAGAAAATGTGTTTGCTAAGTAGGCATATTCTCAAGACTTTGTTAGGCTGAATGTAACATAAAAAAGACTTCATGATAAGAAAAGCAATGAAACCTGATTAATACAGATTGACTTAGCGAGGAGCCACAAACTTCTGGCATTCTAATTTGTTTGTAGTTGACTGCTTAACAGTATTCGATGATCAGAGAATACTTTAGTAGACAGACAGAAATGAAAATTTTCCTTTAATTACGTCAAATTCTCCCTAGACTAAATTCTGTGTTTTGTTTAACAATCAAAATGTAGGAAACAGGAGGGTGACTGGTAATGATTCAAATGGGTATTAAAGTTTCATCTACTATACATCATCATATATTTATTAATCTGAGGTTATTCATGGAACTGATATGAAAACTGAAGGACTGTGAAGTTATATTTTAGTTCACATAAATGTGTGAATTCTATTGTATATTAATATTATCTGTATTTGGATATGGATAGACAAATTATGTCGATAGAGAGAGAGATGTACCCATATTATATCCAGACTAAATGCCTTCTGAGAATATTTATTCATGTAGAAATTCATTTATCAAAACCAAATATTTATCAAAAGAAAGAATATATTCATCCGAACCATACGATTTTGATTCAAATATTAACAGCTTTATAAACTCAAGCAAGTAATTACTCATTTCTGAGCTCACTAACATCTACAGCAAAAACTTTCTATAAGAATGAAAATAATTTTGAACTCTCTGTAAGAAAGATGAGCCCATCCTGATAGCATAAGTATTAAAATGATATTTGAGCACTGTACTGCAAAGCTGCTAAAAACAGAAAAATTACATATATAGTAGTTTGTATAATATAGATGTGTGTGTGTGTATATATATATATATATATATATATATATATATATGTTTTTTTTTTTTTTTTTGAGATGGAGTCTTGCTCTGTCACCAGGCTGGAGTGCAGTGGCATGATCTCTGCTCACTGCAACCTCCACCTCCTGGGTTCAAGCAATTCACCTGTCTCAGCCTCCCAAGTAGCTGGGACTACAGGCATGCCCCACCACACCCAGCTAATTTTTTTGTATTTTAGTAGAGACGGGGTTTCACCATGTTGGCCAGGATGGTCTCAATCTCCTGACCTCATGATCTGCCTGCCTCGGCCTCCCAAAGTGCTGGGACTACAGGCGTGAGCCACCACCCCCAGCAAGTTTATATATTATATAATATTAAATATGATCTAATATAGCACTTGGAGTATTTGGGTCTTTCTTCTTTTACTTCTGTATTATTGTTTTTGTTATTTTATTCTGCCCCTCTTTGTCTTCCTTATTTTACCCGCATATTTTAGTTTTTGTTATTTTCTCCTACCCCTCTTTTACAAGTTACCTTGCATTCTTAGTGAATGACTTATGTGGAATTATAATTATGTTGCCTTTTTATGGATATGTCAATATTTATAACAGTGTTTGAAGTAGACAAATACTTCTCCACTTCTCTTAAATCTGTCTTATAAATGTAACCGGTAATGACACAATCTATGCAGTATTAAATATTAATTTGGGATTATATATTAATGATAGAGAACAAATGAATTCCTTTATTGCTAAGTCAATGCAAACTAGTGAAGTGGCTTATTTTGGTGAATTACACTATGATAAACATTTTTTTGGACCACCATATCACATATCACACAGGACAACCATATAGAAACTCATAGCAAATATTGTAGTCATGAGTATCTGTTCTAAATTTCATCCGAATTAATGTTATTTTATGAAACTATAGGAAGATGAATTCCTGTATACTGACTTTACAAACTACATTAAGTCTGTGAAGTTGCATACCAAGTAAGCAATGTAATGGTAGAGATGTGAAAATTCTGTCAGTTGTCTTTCTAATCAGTAGTCAAATTTTGACACAAGAAATGCTATCAAATTCAAAAGGCATATTCATGGAATCCTCTCCAACTATTTAGTTAACAGAATGAGATTATGGGTTTTTTTCTTTTTATGGTACGACATACAGTGCTGTGTTTTACTTTTCTCTATTGTCTACTAAATTATTTTTCAATAATTTTTTCTGCTGAGACAGTGTATGATCTACATGTCTTTTGAAAACCAAAGAAGGTATTTCTTTGATTTGAAATAGCGTTTAAAATACCTACATTCTTAAAAGTCAGAGCTTGTAAAGTGATTGCAGGTATTTGCGAATCAGGTGAAATTTGTGTGGTCTTTTGACTCTTGCTATATTAATAATATTTTCAATGAAAACTGTACCTACTTGCTTTGTGTGCGTATAAATTGAATATATTGTAAAATTTAAAATAACAGTAATAGTTCCGGTGGGCTGATGTTCCATAATCTGTATCTGTACTTGTATAAAGATAATTAGTTTGAATCAATCACTTATAGAAAAATGTCACCTCACCTGCCCATTTTAAAAAGTGGCTCACAGAAGTGAAATTAGTTACACAGCATACTAATTACAGAATGAAAAGACTGCTCAAAAATGCTAAATACAGGCCTGTAAATTAGCATATCTTCATACAGATATAAATTAAACATATAATAAAATTATATGTATTATAATTATATATAATTATATGTGTAGTGTATATATACATATTTATATATAATCAGTATATATAGATATTATATATCTATATGTAAAATATATGTGTATCTAAATATGTGTCTATCTAAATACATATATATACACAAACATATAAAATAAGTGCTAAGTCGGGTCTGGGACAATGTCATTTATTCAGCACAGTGTTCTTGGTACATAGCAAGACCTGAAACATACTAAATAATCAATAATATGTTTGGTTCAACGAGTGTCAGAAATGCTCTATTTTGGTGGTGTTTTAGATTTGGAAATTCTACACAAACAGGCATAGTTAGCAAAAATATTTTTTCTTTTTTTAAGTTTAAAAGATATGAACAGTACAGTACAGTGTTCCAGAAATTCTTATTGGTGAAGAATTCATGGCTTGGAAAACTAAGTTGATGATGCAGAAGAATGTTCATTATGAAAGAAATGGGTTATAAAGAAGTCTGAGAAAAAGACTATTTAGGAAATTTGTCTTAAAAGGGTGAGAAATGGATTAGATATGGGCATGAATGAAATACAATTTTTTCTTTCATTCTTAGGTTTGGCTTTGTTCCTTTTCACTGAGCTGGAATGAGTATCACAGGGTAATTGTGACATATTGACCCTTAAACTTTCAACATGTTTTCATTAATTCAACAAATATTATTTAAGGTGGCATCATACCCGACACAATTTTAGCTTATCCTTTATGTAAACCTTATGTAAACTAAATATACATTAATCTTGCACAAAAATTTTGAGAAAATATTTTGAGGAAATGTGTTAATGCATTATTTGCTTCTGCATGTATCTTTTTCCCTAGAATATGACTGGGTTTTGATTATATATTGCCAGAAAATAGTTTCACCTATGTAAAGGATTTGTTCTTAGTGACTTTTGTTGTCAGGAAGTTTTGCATTTGTGTTAACACTTGTGTGTTTTGTGGCATCATGTTTTTATTAGTATCAGTGCTACATTCTGTGATACCTTTATGACTCCTAAATCTTTGATTTAGATTATATAGTTCATTGCTAATCATGTCTTCTTCTCAATGTATCTCATTTAAATTATTTTAGCTAAAGGGCCAAGTGATAGCTGGGAACATTATGTGCCCATTCCTGATGGTGCCCATTTTTCAAAAGGAAGGGATTTTGAGAAAGGTCCTCAGAATTCAGTAATACTGGTATATAGTGTAATGTTGAAAGAATGTAATGATGCACTAACTTTGGCTTATTTATTTATTTTTAGAGACAGGGTCTCACTCTGTCTCCCAGGCTGAAGTGCAGTGGTGTGATCATGGCTCACTTTAGCCTGGAGCTCCTTGCCTCAAGCCATACTCCTGCCTTAGCCATCCAAAGCCTTGGAATTATAGGCATGAGCCACCACACATGACCTCCTTTTCAAGTTATTCCATTAATTATTTATAGGAAATAACAACAGTTTAATGAAAATTTAAAAAAAGAATTAGGAAGTTTATCCATATCTAATTCAAAATCACATGACAAATTCTTATTTAACTTAGTCAACCTATGGGGATAATTTGTATTCTTAAAAAAATCTCTTCTAGTAGGAAAAAATATAATTTCAAAATCTTACTTAAACCAAATGTATTTGTTATTCAAGATATGAGTACATTTCTCTCTGTCTTGACACTTGAAATTCTCGTATAAGATTTCAAATTATAGGGGAAAAATCAGAAGAATTGATTGTTGTATTTTAGGAAACTCACATTGTGTTTTGGGAATTTTGGCAAATTATAAAAAATACCCTTTAATTTCCATGAGCAAAAGTACATGCTGACTTGAAGTTAATTCTACTTTTTAAAAGTAAAATCATTTCGGAAAGTTTTTCAGTGAGTTATGTCCATGCAAAATAAGTGAACACTGGTAATTCTTTGTACAACAGAGTACAAAAATTGAAAGAGAATAGGAAAATATTGCTTCTTAGGGATCGGGGATATATATTTTTCATCATGGGACATGATATTTCATCTGAGCACAATGTGCATTCGAGGAATGGATAGGACTGGCTTATAGTTTAAATAAATATCTTAGCTAGTCATGGTTATATTCTCTTAGACTAAATTTCAGTCAAATTCTTAGCAATATTAATATGCGTATTTGAACTAATTTCTGTGTGAATTCTACAAACTGTGTAGCAGAAACATCATTTTATGTTTAAAGAAACAAAGTAAAGGGAGAGATTAATAGGAACTCAGACAAATGCAGAATCAAATTTATAGTGTATTAAAGATTTATATCTCCTTCCTTGTTATATAAGAACTAAAACTTAGGCAACATTTTATCTCTTAGCGGTATACTCTCCTTTTACAAATACCAAAATATAATATTTATATTTTGAGTATCCAAAGAGCCATTACCTTAAATCTGTATCTTCTAATCATGAAGTGCAGATGATTTTTAAGGCAGACAGCATTTGGTTTATTCAAAAAACCTTTTAACATGTCTTTTGCAGTGAGTTAATCTGTCAGACTGATAAAATAAGTTCCTCATACTCCCCCTCCTCTTCCTGCGCATATAAGCTTTTATTTAATTCTGTTTGAAATAGCTTGCTTGTATTTTCGCTTCCTCTTCATGTTTGTGGCACTGCTTTTTATGCTTTGTTCTTTGCTGACATAAAATATTTATCAACATATCATCTAAGAAGATTGGTTCTCCACAGTAGATATCCAATATGTTTCACCACATGGAAAATGTCTTTTCTTGTTTATTCCTAAAATCTGTAGCCAAATTCCCATATGTCTGGTTTATCCATTGATACTTGAAAATGTAAAACTAAGTAATTCTGTGGATAACAATTATGCATGAACATTGCCATTAAACAGTAAATTTTAAAATAATTTATATTTAAACTAAAATAATAATCATATATCTTTCAATATCAAGCAAACGGATTTGATTTTATTCCATTCCTTTGTTATAATGGAAAACAAATTTTCTAATACATTTATTTTTCATTTTTTCTTTGATATGATTTCCCTAATAGTTAAAACAATAGCATTATTCAGAGACTGTATTTTTAGATGTGGCCTATGATTTCAAGGATCCCTCCTTTCCCCATGTGTTACAATACAACATATAAATAACCAGTTGGTTCCAAGACTAAAAATTTCTGCCAAAGCTTGTGTTCATACAGTTACAAAGTCCCAATAAGATATATATTAGAGAGAAAAAATATAAATATAGAAAATAAATCAAAGTCTCCAATTCTTTGAAAATGCCAGCATGGTACTACTGTTAAGCTGTCAGTAATTCACTGTGATTACAAGAAATCACAACTTCAGTCCATGCTAATATCACATGTGAGATTATGAAAACATATTTATAAAGAGAATTATCAAGTCAGCTTGCACTTCCAAAACCATACTTTCGTTTCAATTATTTCATCTCCTTAAATATTTTATATGTAAATATTAAGATCTATATAATAAAATAATCAATTTATTTGGAGTTTTATAAGTTGTCCATCCAGATGCATCTCTCTAAACTGATGTATTAGGAGGAAAAATACTGTCAATGAATAAACATCACTATCTTTCTCATTTTGTAGCACATTTTAAAGTGAAAGTAATAGAACATTACTTTGGGGGAACAATGCAATATTTATGATAGTGAACATTATTGAAATAAGTTCAAATTTTTCTTTATGGATTTTAAAAAACATGCTTTCATATACAAAAACATGTAAACATCTGCCTAAAATAAAGTTGAAATAGATATTTTTGAAATGGTAATTATATGACCTATTTCTTATTCCAGTTTTCTGTTACATATGCTATATGTAATAGAAAATGTAAATAATATAGTATTAATATAAGTATAGACATGCGTATAATATATGATCAATATAAGTACTTCTCAAATGAAATCTCTGTTTCCAAACTATGTCCTAAGTTGTGTGCAGAGCTTAATATGTTTAGCAAGGCATACGAACATACAGAAAGAGAAAATATGCTATAGAACTTACAAAACTGACATTCACTAATAAAATAAGACTTTCAAGTGCTTATTTTTATTTGTTATTTTTAACTTTATTATGGGTATATAATAGTTGTATATTTTTATGAGGTATGTGTAATGTTTTGATACAGACATATAATGTATAATGATCAAGTCAGGGTAATTAGAGAACACATCATCTCAAGCCTTTATCATTTTTTTGTTTTAGGAACATTCCAATTCCACTCTTTTAGTTATTTAAAAATAAACAACAAAATACTGTTAACTAGAGTCACCCTATTGTGCCACCAAATACTAGATCTTATGCATTCTATCTAACTCTATGTTTGTACACATTAACTATCTTCACTTTATCCTTCTGTCTCCTCTATGCTTTCCAGCCTTTGGCAATCATCATTTCACTCTCAACCTCCATTGAGTTCAAATTTTTTTTTAGCTGCCATATATGATTGAAAACATGTAACATTTGTCTTTCTGTGTCTGACTTAATTCACTTAACATAATATCCTTCAGCTCCATACATGTTGTTGCAAATGACAGAATTTCATTTTCTTTATGGCTGAATGATAACCCATTCTGAATATGCAGCACATTTTCTTTATCCATTCATCCATTGGACACTTAGATTGCTTTCATTTCTTGGCTATTGTGAATAGTGCTGCAAAATAAACACGGGAGTGCAGATATCTCTTTGATATACTGATTTTCTTTCATTTGGATTTAAACCCAACAGTGGAATTGCTGGATCATATGGTGGGTCTAATTTTAGTTTTTTGAGGAACCTCTATACTGTTCTCCATAGTGGTTGTACTAATTTACATTTTCATCAAAAGCGTAGGAGCGTTCCCTTTTATCCCTACCCTTGCCAGAATTTGTGATTGCCTCTCTTTTGGATAAAAGCCATTTTAACTGGGGCGAGATGATTTCTCATTGTAGTTTTGATTGGCATCTCTCGAAAAACTGGGTATAGAATGAACATATATCAACACAATAAAAGTCACATTTGTTAAGCCCACAGCTAGTATCATACCAAACAAGGAAAGTCTGTAACTCTTTCCTCTAAGATCAAGAACAATAAAAGCATGTGCACTTTTACCACTTTTATTCAACATAGTTCTCTACTTAGATAAGAGAAGGAAATAAAGGGCATTCAAATTGAAAAAGAAGAAGTCAAATTATTCTTGTTTGTAGACAACGTAATCTTATATTTAAAAAAACCTTAAAGTCCTCACCAAAAAACTATTGGAACTGATAAACAAATTGGAATTAGTAAAGTTGCAGGATACAAATCCAACATACATAGAAAAACATTAGTAGCATTTCTATATGCCAACAGCAAATAAGTTGCAAAAGAAACCAAAAAAGAAACACCATTTACAATAGCTAAAAATAAAACAAAGTATCCAGGAGTAAATAACCAAAAACTTGAAAGATTTCTACAATGGGCCACCATCGTCGGCAAAGCCTGAGTCCTGTCCTATCTCTCTCCTCCCCGGACAGCATGAGCTTCACCACTCGGTCCACCTTCTCCACCAACTACCAGTCACTGGGCTCTGTCCAGGCGCCCAGCTACGGCGCCCGGCCGGTCAGCAGCGCGGCCAGCGTCTATGCAGGCGCCGGGGGCTCTGGTTCCCGGATCTCCGTGTCCCGCTCCACCAGCTTCCGGGGTGGCATGGGGCCTGGGGGCCTGGCCGCGGGGATGGCTGGGGGTCTGGCAGGAATGGGAGGCATCCAGAACAAGAAGACCATGCAAAGCCTGAACGACCGCCTGGCCTCTTACCTGGACAGAGTGAGGAGCCTGGAGACTGAGAACCGTAGGCTGGAGAGCAAAATCCGGGAGCACTTGGAGAATAAGGGACCCCAGGTCAAAGACTGGAGCCATTACTGCAAGACCATCGAGGACCTGAGGGCTCAGATCTTCGCAAATACTGTGGACAATGCCTGCATCGTTCTGCATATTGACAATGCCCGTCTTGCTGCTGATGACTTTAGAGTCAAGTATGAGACACAGCTGGCGATGCGCCAGTCTGTGGAGAACGACATCCATGGGCTCCGCAAGGTCATTGATGACACCAATGTCACTTGACTGCAGCTGGAGACAGAGATTGAGGCTCTCAGGGAGGAGCTGCTCTTCATGAAGAACCACGAAGAGGAAGTAAAAGGCCTACAAGCCCAGATTGCCAGCTTTAGGTTGACCGTGGAGGTAGATGCCCCCAAATCTCAGGACCTCGCCAAGATCATGGCAGACATCCGGGCCCAATATGACGACCTGGCTGGGAAGAACCGAGAGGAGCTAGACAAATACTGGCCTCAGCAGTTTGAGGAGAACACCACAGTGGTCACCACAGTCCGCCGAGGTTGGAGCTGCTGAGATGACGCTCACAGAGCTGAGACGTACAGTCCAGTCCTTGGAGATCGACCTGGACTCCATGAGAAATCTGAAGGCCAGCTTGGAGAACAACCCGAGGGAGGTGGAGGCCCGCTACTCCCTACAGATGGTGCAGCTCATCGGGATCCTGCTGCACCTGGAGTCAGAGCTGGCACAGACCCGGGCAGAGAGACAGTGCCAGGCCCAGGAGTAATGAGGCCCTGCTGAACATCAAGGTCAAGCTGGAGGCTGAGATCGCCACCTACCGCCGCCTGCTGGAAGATGGCGAGGACTTCACTCTTGGTGATGCCTTGGACAGCAGGAACTCCATGCAAACCATCCAAAAGACCACCACCCGCCGGAAAGTGGATGGCAAAGTGGTGTCTGAGACCAACAACACCAAAGTTCTGAGGCATTAAGCCAGCAGAAGCAGGGTACCCTTTGGGGAGCAGGAGGCCAATAAAAAGTACAGAGTTAAAAAAAAAAAAGATTTAAACAATGAAAACTATAAAACATTGATGAAAGAAATTGAGGCAGATACAAAAAAATTGAAAGACATTTCATATTCATAGATTTGAAAAATCTATATTGTTACAAAGTCCATACTACCCAAAGCCATCTACAATTCCTATCAAAACACCGATGACATTCTTCAGAGAAATGGAAAAAATAATCCTAAAATTTATATGGAACCACAAAAGACCCAGAATAACCAAAGCTATGCTAAGCAAAAATAACTACACTGGGGGAATCATAGTACCTGACTTCAAATTATACTACAGAGCCATAGTAACCAAAACAGCATGGTACTGGCATAAAAATAGACACATATACCAGGGGAACAGAATAGAGAACCCACAAACAAATTCACATACCTACAGTGAACTCATTTTTGACAAAGGCGCCAGGAATATAAACTGAGGAAAAGAGAGTCTCTTCATTAAATGGTTCTGGGAAAACTGGATATCCATATGCAGAAGAATTAAACTTGACCCGTATCTCTTGCTATATACAAAAATCAAATCCAAGTGGATTAAACACTTAAATCTAAGACCTTAAACTATGAAACTACTACAAGAAAACATTGGAGAAACTATCCAGGACATTGGTCTTGGCAAAGACTTATTGACCAATGCCCCAGAGGCACAAGCAATCAAACCAAAAAATGGACAAATGGGATCACAGCAAGTTAAAAAGTTTCTGCACAGCAAAGGAAACAATCAACAAAGTGATGAGACAACCCACAGAAGGGGGGGAAATATTTGTAAACTACTCATCTGGCAAGGAATTAATAACCAGAATATATGAGGAGCTCAAACAACTCAATAGGAAAAAAGGTGATTAATAAATAGACAAGAGATTGTAATAGACATTTCTCAAAATAATATATACAAATGGCCTACCTTCAAGTGTTTAAGTAAAAGTTGTTTCCTGATATCATGTCCATTTACTTATGCAATATAGAGACTTTAATTACCTACTGTTTTCTTTATAGTACAGCAAATTTTTAAATTAGTTTGTAATAGAGCAAACAGGTTGGTGAAAATGTGAAGAAAAAGTTTTGAAATTTTTTATTCTAAAAAACTTCAATTATATTCTCTCTCTAGATATGATTGAGTTTTATCCCTGTTTTATTTCTATGTGCACAACTCAAAAAGGTTTGTTGACAAACCAGTCAAAGCTTCGAAATTGGGTAAATTGCTTAGAAGAAACTTATTTTCAATTTCACAAGGAAGGAATTTTAAAACTTAAGTCTTTTAGCAATGTACAGATTGTACATTATTACCTTGGAGGCATGTATTTTGTCTGCATTAAAATCATGCAAAGGAACACGCTTTACAAATCAATTTCACTGTGGACCTAAAGACCAGATACACCACCAAGTCCCATTTAAAAATGGCCTTAATTTAGAATTCACCCTCTCAAGAACAGATTGAGTATTAAAAGGTATGAAATGTTTGAGAGCTAAAATTGTTTCAAACATTTTGGATAGCTTAAAGGCATACTTT